>NT_167247.2:4296689-4416587 GCF_000001405.40 Homo sapiens | reverse complement strand
GGCCATCTCCCTGCAGGTTTCTTCTCTGCGTGGCCTGCTGTGCCATCTCCACCTTCATCTCCACACCGCACCCCTGCACGATGTCCTGTGGCCTCGTTTCCCCTCACCCCACATGCAGTCAGCTGCCAGGCCTGATGAAGTCCCAGGGGTCTCTCTCCCTCCATCCTCCTCACTCCATGCTCAGCCCAATCTCCGTGCTCACCCTCCTGACAAGCTCCGGTTGGGCTCCTCCCATCAATCCCCAGCTCAAAGTCCCCTTCCCTCCTGGCACTAAGGTCCCTTAGGCCGGCCCGGCTGCCCCTACTCCCTGGGCCCGGCCCCCACGGCTGCCCCAGGAGCCCTGGTTCACAGCCCTCACCTCGGCGCTGCCGGATGAGTGGCTCCATCAGCTCGTACTTGTGTCTGCACACCTTGTCCACCTCGGCTCGCTTCCGTTCCATAAAGTCCTTCTGGCTATTGAAGTACTCGCCTATGGGCCGCCCCAGCTCCATCACTGCTAGGAACTCCCCCACTGCGCTGTCAAAATGCACGTATTCCTCCCGGTTGTAGATGAGCCCGTCCACAACGCGCTGAGTCCCATTGAACGCATAGCATTCCTGCCGTTCCTGGTAGACGGAATTCTCTGTGAAGAGCAGGGAGAGATGGGGGTGGTGCCACTCCCAACAACACCCCCCTCCTCAATATTAGCTATTTCCTCAAATCTTCCCACTCAGGACTGGATTTAAAAATACGATTTTTCCTACTACCGAGTTCTGTGGTCCTAGGCAGGTCACAGACTCCAGGCATCAGTTTTCTCACCACGCAGCGAGAGGATTTACTGAAAAGAATGAGACTCACTGCTCAGGGTGGCTGAGTGATCATTAGGGAGGGGCGCACGCTGAAGGGAAAGCAGCCCTTTCTGCTGGCGGCTGGAGGAGGAGGGGGAGACATTTCACGTCTCAGGGAGGAGCAGAATCTCATCAGGGGGAGGGTCCCTCAGGCAGAGAAACAGTAGGGATAGGAGGAGTTGGGGACCTGGAGGGCAGAGCTGCTCCCCCTACCCAACTCCCTGCCTGACATTTCCATCCTGATGTCAGTCCTGGCTCAAATGCCACCTCCTCCAGGAAGCCCTCCATTCCTTCTTTCCCTTTCTACAGCTAGGTTCTCTCTCTTCTCTGCCAGTTTCTTGAGAATACCTCAAGTTGCTCTTGCTGTTCTGCATGCTGGACATCTCTGCATGCTGGAAATGCAGAAATGCATTTCCATGCATTCCTCCCTCCCTCCCTCCCTTCCTTCCTTCCTTCTTTCTTCTTTCAATGGAGTATCCTTCCCTCCCTCCCTTCCTTCCTTCCTTTCTTCCTTTCTTTCTACAGAGTATCACTCTGTCGCCCAGGCTGGAGTCCAGTGGTGCAATCTCAGCTCACTGCAACCTCCGCCTCCAGGGTTCAAGCAGTTTTCCTGCCTCAGCCTCCTGAGTAGCTGGGATTACAGGTGTGCGCCACCACGCCCAGATAATTTTTGTATGTTTAGTAGAGATGGGGTTTCACCATGTTGGCCAGGCTGGTCTCGAACTCCTGACCTCGAGATCTGCCCTCCTCGGCCACCCAAAGTGCTGAGATTACAGGCGTGAGCCACCGCACTTGGCCAGAAATGCATTTCTTAAAACTTCTTGAAGTTTGCCATAAGAAAGACTATATAGCCTGAAAGTTAATTTTCACTTTCAAACATGGCTGTAGAAAGACTTGATCTCAAAACACCTGGAAAATATCTTAATCAATGAAAATCACCAGAACAACCAGAAAGCTAAGTGACTGGACTCCTTTAGGTTTAGAGGCATTGATGGTGTCATTTTTACATAAAGAAATGTGGCAGCCTTTTCCACCTGCAGTTCTTCCTAGGGAGCACCATGGGCAGTGTCCGGCAGGTGCATGTGTATACAGAAGTAGCAATGACCCAGCACATGTCTGAGCCTCTTCAGACCTGATCTGTTCCTGGTCACAGTGGGGAAATTAAGGTGCTGTGATTTGCACACAGCAAATTAAGGTTTGTTTTGGACACCTGTTTCATGTTCTACAAATTAGCAACTCACGTTTATTAACCTCACCCCTCATAGAAGATGCACAGCTGGTGGCAGAGGACAGTAGAGAAGGGGTGGGGCTGGGCACAGCGGCACCGTAGACTCGGCCTGCAGTTTCCAGTGTCATCTCTAAGGCAAGATCCCAGGACTTTAGATATCTTAACCCGCCTCTTCTCCTAGTGCCTTGGGCTCCAGCCCCCTAATCACCCAGGCCCATCGCCCCCAGCCCCTTTAGTCTGCCCCTCCCTATTCAAGTGCCCCACTCTGAGTGTGTATCCTCTCATTTTAATTTGTTAGTCTTTGTTCCTCTTCCTCATTCACCAATAAGAGAACATGTTTTAGTCAAGAGTAAGAATTTCAAAACTTTCTTTTGCAACATTTAACTTTTTAAACGGAATTTTACCTGCAAAGCAGATATAAGTGATGAGTATATGGTGGAATTTGAAACTTCATTTTTTTTTTGTATATGGAAAACTTTATCCTGTTTGCGGAATCTTTGACAATTGAGTTACCCAGAGCACAATTTGAAAACCAATGATCTGAGTGAATTCATCTCTCACTCAGAATAGGTTATATTAAAATATAATTGCAGAAAGATATAATGGAGTCCATATGGGTAAGAAAAGGAACATGTCACAGGTAGGGATTCCAGTTCTTGCACTACGACTGATTACTAAGTTATCTTGGACAAGAAACAACCTTCTAACTCTCCATTTCTTGAAAGGCAAAATAGTAATAATACTATTTACCTTGCAAAACTGCTGTGAGAACCAAATGAGCTCACATATGTCAAATACATAGTATTGTATCTGTTACTGCTCAATCTATGTTAGTTCCCTTCCTCTTTTCACTGTGTGACCTGTTTGAATAGGAGCAAAATTCTAAATAAATGCATATGAAAGAGGAACTGGATCAGCTTATGAGCTACTGGAAAACCTCAAGAAGACTTTCCATGGGCACCAGATCTTAATGGTTGAAAAGTGTTTGTTGGCTGTTTGCTGACTGGATCTTCCCCCCTCTCTTTTGTGCTAGGGATTTTATTTGAGGAGTTAGATTAACAGAAGAGTGAGTACCCAAAGACTCAAATGCACAATGAGCTTCTGCAAGTGCCCAGCTGGTGTGACAGGAGGACTCGGGAGTGTGGCCCTAATGCTTGGGGTAGTGGGTGGGGTGAGGTAAGAAACTCAGCTGTAAAAAGCCCATTTTAAAGCTTGTCAGAGACAAAAGGGTGTTGCCTCCAGGAGTCTGGTTTTTTCACCTGCCGTGTCATCTCCTGCTCCCTAGGTGTTGTCTCAGCCAAGCTTTTCTCCACCCTCCCCTCTCTCACTTTAAGCCACAGCCTGGCTCCTTGTGCCTTTCCTCTTGTGCTCTGAGGATGGAGATGTGTGTGGAGTTGGAAGAGCATGCAGGGAATTGTGGAATTGGCCCTGCCCACTCTACCCACTCCCCTTGGCTCCAGCTCTCCCTCCAGCAGGCTTTGATTGGACATTCATTCTACACGGGGAGCTCTGGTAACCCACCCTCGGTTCCTGTCACATGGCTCCACTGCCTCATCTCATTTCCCCTACCAACCTCAACCCAGTCTTCGCCCATCCACCTGTTCACTGCCCACCATCATCACGCTCCCTCCTGTGCTTTCTGCTACCCCGCACCTTGAGGGTTTCCACGGCGTTTCCCAACACCACCCCTCATCCTACAAACAACTCTGCCTATGGACACTGTTGCTATGGACCTCCTGCTGGACACTGTTCAGTGTCACCAGCGCTGCTCCAGCCTCCTCTCTCCCCAACCTCACCCCTCTCCAGTTCCCAGGGCTGAGCCATTCTGCTGGTTAGTTCTCAGCACCCCTGTGACTACAAGTGCAGTTTGTCCACCCTTTCCCGGACAATGAACCTGAGGTAATAGGTGAGGGGCTTTGGGGTTTGAGGGGCTGTCCTCAGGAGATTCGAATACTGTTACCCTGGAAAATGAGGAGGTGACATGAGAACAGCACTTTCTAGGGGTGTCCTAGGTGGATGTGGAAGGGTCTCAGAGGGAGGGTCTATGCAGAAAGGTGGAAGTCAGTGGAAAACTAAGACACCTACTCTGCAGTCCTTCCTCTCAGGGTGTTGGTGTAAATTTGGACCAGAAAAGTAAGAACATCCTGAGAGAAAAACAATGGGTCATAGAAGCCATAATATTACACCAGCCACAAGGAGACAGCAGGAGACAGAGGTTTTTCCCTTGGTTACTGCTTTCTTGGCTGTCTGATAACCTACACTCAATCTCTTTCACGTACTCACACATCCTTATCTCATTCTTCTGACAGGTTTCAACCCATCCTAATACTCTAACCAAGTTCTGGGGAGGCTGGGAGAAATACCTTCAACAAGAGTGCCTTTAGGGGCTCGAACCTGTCCCCCTCCCTCCCATCTTGCCTTCATTGTCCAGGGAGCATTGGCTCCTGCTCCACCCTGGAGAATGAGAGGCATTCTCTGTGAGCACTGAATCCTCAGTGATACTTGTAGTCTGGACACACCAGCTAAGGGCTCTCTGCCTGAGTCCCCTCAAGGTTGGATGCAGATGTGAGCACACCCAGGAGTCTGCACTTGCCAACCTCTCTCTCTGAAACCTTGTCTGTCCAAGGTTATCCTGAACCTCTTGGCCCCATTTCCCCATAGACAAGCAACTTGACCCCTGAGCACCTCCCCTTATTTACTGTGTCCATGTTCCTGGAGAGAGAATAGACCTGGTGGATAGCAACCTATCCTATAGGAGGTGAGTTTGATTCTCCAGCTGTGATAGAAGGACACTAGGCCGTGGCAGGAGCCCCACATGCTGTCTCAGAGTCTGGTTCCATAAAGAGAAAGTCCCCTAGGAATTGTTCCCTGAGCCAGACCCTCCAGGAATAGCAGCTCTGCTCTTACCTGGAGTGGCCCTGCTCTGGACCACAGATATGAGCAGCACCATCAGTAATGCTGTCAGAGCCACTGTCCAGGGGCCCCCTGAAACCTGCAGGATCATCATGGAGTTGGAAAAGGTTGGCAGAATGAAGAGAGCTGCAGTCAGGAAAACAAGAACTCATTAAAGGGAGCTCCTGTCTGAAATATTAGAGACCATGAACCCAAGCAGTCTTCTGTGACCCTAGGATTGGACAGACTCTGAGAAAAGAACCAATGGGCACTGAGCTTTGTATGAGTCATTGCTCACTGGGCAGAAAGTTAGTATTAAAGATCTGACAATATAGAGCCAGTGATGCTGTTACGAGGACAGATGGAGAACACTGACACTCATTTTAACCAGTCAGAGTCATGAGTTTTGGGGAGATGATGTGTTTTCTTTGCTCTGAAGGTGATCTCAGATATTCTGCTGGCCCACCTACAGGGATTATCATTTCCCCAATTCTGCCACACCTCACACACCCACAGGACATGGCCTGGTGTGGAAGAAATGCTATCTCAATGTGTAAAAGGTCATTCAGTGGCATGATTTAGAGAGATTAGAGTATCCATCCCAGAACTGAAAATGAGGCCTGGAGTCTGTTTTGCCTTTGTTCAAGGCCGTGCTTCAGATTAGTGCACATTCATATTTTCTTCCTCCCACATGTCTGTGAGTCCTGAGATGTGCGGGGGATACTGGCTCCTTCCATAGGACTGTCATCAGGGTCAGCAGGGCTCAGTCTAGGGGCCTTACACCTGGGAGCATGGACACACCACCTACACTACCATGGAAGTATGCAGCTTGAAGGACACTGCCTGTCTTGGACTTCAGTTCTTTGTCTTCAGTATGGGGATGATATGACCTGCCTTTACAGCAGGGCTCTTAAGGTCAAATTAGATCAACGGATCTGTAATTGCTTTGGAAAAATGGGACTAAAAATTATACAGTGAATGAGGAAGAAATGAAAAAATGTCATAAAAGACCCTACATTTTCCAAAACATCTGATTCTGTGGTGTTTATACTGAATAGTTTCATAAACTTTCAAAGAATATTACTCCTTAATTTAAAGACCTATAAATGTGATCCTGTACGACCTCCTAATCTAATAAAGAAAATGTAAAAGTGGCATCATTTGTTTATATAAATGTTAAAATGTAAATAGAAGACTAGCATGTAAAATTCAAGAGAAGAAAATAATTATGCAGTAGAAGGGGCCAGTATAGGATTGCGGGGAAAAAGCTCACGTTCCCTGCCATAGTCACCAAGACAGCATGGTACTGGTATAAAAATAGGCACATAGACAAAGGGAACAGAATAGAGAACCCAGGGATAAACCCAAATACTTACAGCCAACTGATCTTCGACAAAGCGAACAAAAACATATGGTGGGGAAAGACACCCTTTTCAACAAATGGTGCTGGGATAATTGGCTATCCACATGTAGGAGAATGAAACCGGGTCCTCATCTCTCACCTTATACAAAAATCAACTCAAGATGGATTAAGGACTTAAACCTGAGACCTGAGACTATAAAAGCTCTAGAAGATCACATTGGAAAAACCCTTCTAGACATTGGCTTAGGCAGGGATTTCATGGCCAAGAACCCAAAAGCAAATTCAATAAAAACAAAGATAAATAGTTGAGACTTAATTAAACTAAAGAGCTTTTGCATGGCAAAAGGAACCATCAGCAGAATAAACAGACAACCCACAGAGTAGTCACAATCTATACATCTGACAAAGGACTAATATCCAGAATCTACAATGAACACAGGCAAATCAGTAAGAAAAAACAAACAACCCCATCAAAAAGTGGGCTAAGGACATGCATAGACAATTCTCAAAAGAAGATATACAAATGGCCAAGAAACATAAGAAAATGCTCAACATCACTAATGATCAGGGAAATGCAAATCAAAACCACAATGTGATACCACCTTACTCCTGCAAGAATGGCCATGATAAAAAAATAAAAAAACAGTAGATATTGGTGTGGATGTGGTGATCAGGGAACTCTTCTACCCTGCTGGTGGGAATGTAAACTAGTACAGCCACTGTGGAAAACAGTGAGGAGATTCCTTAAAGAACTAAAAGTGGAACTATAATTTGATCCAACAATCCCACTACTGGGCATCTACCCAGAGGAAAATAAGTCATTATATGAAAAAGATATTTGCACATACGTGTTTATAGCAGCACAATTCACAATCACAAATCATGGAACCAACCCAAATGCCCATCAATCAACGAGTGGGTAAAGAAACTGTGATATATATATGATGGAATACTACTCAGCCGTAAAAAGGAATGAGTTAATGGCATTTGCAGCGACCTGGATGAGATTGCAGACCATTATTCTAAGTGAACTAACTCAGGAATGGAAAACTAAACATATATTCTCACTGATATGTGGGAGCTAAGCTAAGAGGATGAAAAGGCATAAGAATGATACAATGGACTTTGGGGACCTGAGAGGAAAGGTGGGAGGGGGCAAGGGATACTGCTCAGGTGATAGGTGCACCAAAATCTCACAAATCATCACTAAAGAACTTACTCATGTAACCAAATACTACCTGTACCACTATAACCTACGGGGGAAAAAAGCAACATAACCATGAACCAACTAATAAAAAACAACCTTGCCTTCAGTCTGCATCCTACCCTAGAGACACTCTCTCTGTGTCCTCACACTTGGAGCTAAGCTTCTGACTTTTGTCTCCAGTACACCCCTGAGGATCCTCTCATCACGGCCATCAGAAACCTCTGTAGAAGGTCAAATCCAGTGGGTTCTTGTCAGTGCCTCTGACTTGAGTTACTGATAATATTTGCACCATAATCCACTTCTTTCTAATGAGCTACTCTGTCCTTATTTTTCTCCTATTTACTGAATCCTCCTTATCATCCTTTGAAATCTCCTCTTAATTATTATGTTCTCTCATCATACCCTGAGATCCCTGCATTTCTGATTTTTGGCACTCTTCCTGGAAAAGCTCATCTAACCTGCACCTATGCTTGATGACTCTCAGTTCTCTGGCTTAAACTCCTCTACTGAGACCACCCATCATACAAAAATGTTTACATATTATTTTTCCTTAGATAACTTTTAGATATTCTAAGTGCAATAGCCCCACACTGAACTCAGTCTCTTCTCTCAGTCAGGCTGTCTTCTCTCATTACCCTTTTTAATGAATGGAATCAAGATGTTTGCATTGGGTTGGGGAGATGTTGGTCAAAGGATACATCCATTTCATTTCATTTAGGATACATTTCAAAAGATACATTTCATTTAGATTGGAGGAATAATTTTAAGAGTTTTATTGTATAACATGGACTATAGTTGCTAACAATGTATTGTTGAAAATTGCTAAAAGGGTGGATTTTAAGTGTTCTCACCACAAAAAATAAGTATGTGAGGTGAGCCATAAGTTCTTTAGCTTGATGTAGCCGGTCCATGATGTACATACATTTCAAAACAACATATTATACATGATAAATATAAATAATTTTTGTCAATCAAAATAATTTAGAAAAGTGACACACACTTACACACACACACACAAAAGAGATGATTGCATTGGCCAGTCTAGGAATAAGAGTTATCTGGGAGTTTTCTAAGTCGGATGCCACCGACATCACTCACCAATAATCCCTTTAATGTCAATCAAATTAAGTCCTCTTCTTCCATCATTTTACTCCTATGCCCATTTCCTCACTCTTTGTTCAGGCACTATTAGTCTTGCCTCTTGAACCAACTTCTTTCACTCATGCTGCCCACTGTTGCCGTAGTGATCTTCCTAAATTGCAAATGCGCCATCACTCTCCTGCTTAAAATCCTTCAATGATTCCTTATGACTTCCAGGACAGAGTAGCCACTCCTGAGCTTTGCATGTAACATCTGTCATGATCCAGCCCCTGCCTGTCTATTTTTCCTTTTTTCTTGCTGCTGTTCCACATCCAAAGCTGGCTCCATTCATACTGAAGCAGCTGAAGTTCTTCAGATATGTCATTGCCACACTGGGCCCACACTTTTGAACCTGCTTCCTCCTGTGTGAGAAGTGGCTTCTGCCCTGTTTTCGGACTGCCTACATTGAAGCCATCTGTTCCCCAGGAAGCCTTCCCTGATGCCTTGACAGCAGCATCTTGTGCCTGCCCCATATCTGCACTTATCCATCTGGGCCTGCTGTTGTCTTGTCACTTGTGTTCTCTTCTGTGAACTGTAAACATCAGGAGGACAAGACCTATGTCTTACTTTTATTTGAATATTTAGCATCTAACAATGTTCGACATATAGTAGGCTTTTGATACTATTTTTTTACTATGACATTGTAGTATATGTTAATATCCAGTAGGACATAGGATATATTCTCTCTGTTTTCAATTTTTCATTGTTTACACACATTTATAATTCTATCTATAAGGATTTACAATTATTTACATGAAATGAATGAAATAAATAGAGAATGTTAGATATTAAGAGACAGTGTGGAAAGCCAGGCTGGGACTAGGGATGCACTTACCTTAGGTGCAAAATTTAGGAGGATACCAAAAGAACTCAGTAATAAAAGTCAATCATATTTTAATGAAATATCTTAAGAAATCTAAATTAATGGAAAATATATAATGAACAAAATGTCAAAAGAGAACTATTCAAAGAAAATGGAGAAGCAGAGAGGCAGAAGAATTAGTAGAATATACTGGCACATAAGCCAAGGAGGTAAAGATTTCCAGGAAGGAGGAAGTAGAGTGGAGTCAGAAGTTCAACAGAAGTCATTTCAGAAATCTTACCTTGGTTTTGAAATCCTTTCAGAGAGCAGTTTTACATAATGTGAGCAATTATTTCTCCTTCATCCCCATCATTCCAGAATTGAGCTTCTTCTCTGGCTTCAGAAATGTGGCCCTTCCCCTTGTCAGGATATGTTGGCGACATGATGCATGCGGATGCCCTCAAAGTCAGCTGGGGTTTGGGGGTGAAATTAATTGACTTTAGGGAACTCCTTGAATGCTAAGTTCTGTTCACCTGGAGGACCAGAGAGGGCACAGAGATGACCACCTAGCTTCTGCCTGGGACCTAAACAGGGCAGAGAAATAGGAGGATCAGGTATAAAGGGAGCAGGGAAGATGGGTCTGGGCTTACAGTACTGAACCCAGGGATGACAGTAACTGTGTGTGTCTCGAGGCAGGTGACAAAATATGTGAAAGGAAGAGGACTTAGGAGAGATCTGAATTCCAGCTGTTTTACAAGCTATATCTCAGCTTTCTTTCTCAATTCATGTGCTCTCTACCCCAAAGGCTGATGGAATTGCTGACCCTTCAAGTTCTCTTCTCATCTGCACCCCTTCCCTCCTGCTGCACACTGTTCAGCGACATCACACACTTCTCCAGCCTCCTCTCTTCCTAGTCTTACCCCTTCCCAGTTCCCATAACTGAACTGTCCTGTTGAGGAGTTCTTAGCAGCCCTCTGTGACCACAAGTGCAAGTTGCACTCCCTTCTGAGACAAAGTCCCCCATTTATTCCCTCCTGAGGGCGTGTCCCTTCCCCTGACCCTCATGGACTCTCCCAGGTGCACCCCCTGTGGATTTGCTCCTGGGCCTGAGTTTCCCCTACTTCCCTGATGGTGTCTGGAGGGCAAGGGGTATCTGTCTATCTACTGAGTGTCATAAACTGCCCAACTCAGCACACCCACCCTCTACCTCTTCCTAAGTGTAGTGACACGGTGAGGGAGGTAATGGGGTGGGGTCTGGAATCAGACACCAGGAGGAAAGGGGTGGTGGCTCTCTTTGCCTCTCACTCTGTGTGTATTTCTCTCGGGTACCAGGAGGATTTCCTAAAGATTTCTTTCTCCTGACTGTTTTCTGGACCCGTCCTGGTCTCCAAGCTCCCCTCCTGATTCTCTGCAGTGCCCAGGTGTCCAACAGTTGAGCCTGGAGCCAGGCCAACTTGTCAGCTTCCTGTATGAGGATCAGACTGGACGACTTCAACCTGCTTAGCCCGTCTTCTGAGGCCTCACCCTAGTAGTTGGCAAGTAAGTCTATTTGCTCCTCTGGTCTGCCTGGCCCACACTTTTGTGAGAAAGTGCCCTAGAACCTGTACGCTCTAAACTGTGAAACCCTGTTCCTTCTTTTGGCCACAACACACCTACGCACTGCCCAAAGTTCAGTCACTTCTAGCCCAGAGTTTGGGCTTAGAGTGCATCCTTCTCTGCAAGTTGTGTTAGCCTGTACCTTGGGCAAGTTACTTAAATTTTTTGAGCCTCAGTTTCTACATCTTAGGATGGACAGTAAATAGAATTGGCACAAACAAGTGAGAAAGTGATGGCACAGTGTTTGTTGCACTGTAAGCACTTGATAAATGGCAGCTATTGTGATTACTGCTCTCATCGTCATTGGTTTCAACTTTCATCAACAGATCTCCAACCCTGTTGACGCCCCTGCTTCAGTCAGTCACTTGAACCTCTCACTCCATGACCAGGTGGCACCTTGTGGCTATGGCCATGAAGGGCCAGTCTGTCACCCTCATTGTTGACTGCAAGATGTGAGTCACCCGGCCTCTCCCCTGAAGAACTAGTCCAGTGTTGGACACCTGTGGGGTGATAATTGTTGGTGCCTGTATCCCAGATGAAGAAAGTCTTTGAGGTTACCACAAAAATCAGAGAAAGGAGTGACTTCTGGTCCCTTATTTTGTGCCCACTCCTCTTCTGGCCCCAGTATGCAATGTTCCTATTTCCTAAGCCTTCATTTTTTTTCTTGTGAATTTTGATTTGCATTTCCTATCTTCAGGACTGCTGATCTCTGCAGAATAACTAGATGTCCACTTATGTGGCAGGACTGTCCACAGCCACTTATTCTATCCTTCAGTCTTCATCTCTCCATCTATCCATCCCTTGAACCTATCTCTCTCCTCATCCACCCCATCCATCCACTCATTCACCAGTCCACCTACGCACACATCCACCACCCACTCCCGCAACCATTTACCCACCTATGCATCACAAACTTACCCATCTACTCATGCATGAAGGCTTATATCCACTCACCTGTCCATCCTCCCCCTGCTTAATGACTCTCCCCTTCTTTACACACATCTATTCGACTATGCTTTTGTTCATCTGTCCTCTTCAACTTATCCATCCATCTATTCACTCACCCACCCACTCACACACCCCATCTACCCATGCATACAAGGATGCATGCATCTGTTCAGCCACCCATCTATCCATTATCCTTCCTGGAACTCAACCACTCTCTCCTTCAATACACTCATGCACCCATCTCCTCACCCACTCACTTCACATCCAACCGTTCACTCAACCATGTATTCAATTCCACCCATCTATCTATTCACTCATCTGATTCCATCTACTCTGTACCTCCCGCTCATCTACCCACTAAGCCTTGCATGCATAATTCCCTCTGCAGGAGTCCCATTGTACCTGTTTTGTGCCTTTCTTTTCACTCTGGGTCATGGTAGCCATATTGTTGAAGGTTCACTTCCCAGATCCTCTTTTCTTGGCTGCTTCCTGTCTGTACAGCCACTTCCTGTTTGTCCAGTTTGTTTTGTGGCCATCTTGGCCATGTTTAATTTTCCTTGGCCCTGGCATCACTCTTGCATCCAAGTGTTTGTCATTTTATTTTGTGTCCCTTAGTTGTTCTCATATCTTCCAGTATTCTCTGTCAGTTGGACTGCTTCCTGTCTACTCTGCTACATCTTCTGCCTGCCTTGCAGTTATGGCTGCCTTTTCTACCCTGCTGCTGCATCCCACACCTCCTGCTCTTGGCACCCGTGAGCTTCTGCTGCCTTTCCTTTATGCTGCTGTCTGGGTCTTTGGGGTTGATGTGGGATCTGGGAGAATTTTGAAACGGATCATTGCTGTCAGGATGAAGGTGGAGAGGGGCATTCTGAAGATCTTTGTTTTGGGGAGTTGGGGTGGTGGTGAATGTTTCACCTTCTCCCCACCCTTATCTTGGCTATGGCCTGGATTTGGGAACAGGCATCTGAATGGAGGTGTGCAAGGGAGGGAACTGGTTGGCTTGGAGTGTACATGAGGGCCAGAAGAAGGGCAAAGCATCCTGCTGGGAGAGGAACTGTGGGGTGCATTGTAGGGGGCTGCTCTGGGGCTTGGATAACTGAGCCCAAGAACTGTATGTTTTGCAAAAGGCAGTTATGAGGCCTGAGTTTGGAATATCTCTGGGAAATGCTCTCCAAATTTACTTGGAGTATGGATACTTAACCTGTGCAGGGTTTTTACATTTTTGAACTCCTTCAAATTCTAAATAAAATTTTGTGCATAAGGGCATATACCTTTTCTTTTTTGGAGAAAGACTGAAAGACTCAAAGTCCTCTTTCTGAAAGAGGCTCTTCAGGATTTGGAGAGGTTGTGTTTGCTGAGGTGGGACTGAGAACTGGGGTGCAGGGAACCCTGAGATCTCCTTGGCAGGCATGAGAGTTTTGTGAACAGAAGTATTTAGAGGAAGCCTGTGGGGCTTGTGGGTAGGGCTGGTCTGGTCTCCAGAGGACCCAAAATCGAGGTTGGAGTTGAGATGGGGGCAGGCCTGGTGTCCTGGCTGCTCATGGGCCCCACTGGGGTTACATGTGTGTCTCCCTTAGGCTGCCCATGGGCCCCGGGGGCTGAAGGGAGAGAAGAGAGAGCCTGCAGTGCTGGAACCTGTAAGTCATGCTGGTCACAGGGCTGAGGTGGTGGAAAGAGGAGAAGCAAGTGGGGTTTAGTGTGCTGGCCCTGTCACCTGTGAGTTTTAACCTTTGACTCCACAGGGTATGCTCGTGGAGGGGCCCCCTGGTTTAGAAGGCCCTGTGGTGAGTCTAGCAGTGACCTGGTGGCCATTGTTTTCTTAGAGATCCCTCCTATGTGTTCATCTGTGCCTTCCCCACATATGCTCAGGCCTCCTCCTCAGAACTCCGGAGGGTCCTTCCAATAAAAGTTTTTTAAAAAATCATTTCGAAAAATTAATTCAATAGTTTTTGGGGAGCAGGTGGTGTTTGGTTATATGGATAAGTTCTTTAGTGGTGATTTCTGAGGTTTTGGTGCACCCATCACCTGAGGAATGTACACTGTATCCAGTGTGTAGTCTTTTATCCCTTACCCAGCTCCTACTCATACCTGGAAGTCCTCAAAGTCCATTATATAATTCTTATGCCTTTGTGTCTTCATAGCTTAGCTCCCACTTATAAGTGAGAACATACAATATTTGGTTTTCCATTCTTGAGTTACTTCCCTTAAAATAATGGTTTCTAATTCCCCCTAGGTTGCTGCAAATGTTATTTCATTCTTTCTTATGGCTGAGTAGTATTCTAAGGTATATAGATCACATATATATCATATGTGATCTATATATAGATCATATATATATATATGTGATCTATATATATATAGATCACATATATATATATCACATATATATATATCACATTTTCTTCATTCACCCATTAACTGATGGGCATTTGGGGTGGTTCCATATTTTTGCAATTGTGAATCATGGTGCTGTAAACATGTGTGTGCAAGTGTCTTTTTCATACAATGGCTTTTTTCCTCCAGTAGTGGGATTGCTGGATCAAATGGTAGATCTATTTCTAGTTCTTTAAGGCATCGCTGTACTGTTTTCCATAGGTTGTACTAGTTTAATTTCCCACCAGTAGCATAGAAGTGTTCTCTTTTCATCACACCTACCCCAACGTCTATTTTTTTTTTATTTTTAAATTATGACCATTGTTACAGGAGTAAGTTGGTATCACATAGTGGTTTTGATTTGCATTTCCCTGATAATTAGTGATGTAGAGCATTTTTTCATATGTTTGTCAACCATTTGTATATTTTCTTTTGAGAATTGTCTGTTCCTCTGCTTAGCCCACTTTTTGATGGGAGTATTTGTTTATTTCTTGCTGATTTGTTTGAGTTTTTTGTAGATTCTGGATATTAGTCCTTTTTTGTATGTATAGCTTGCGAATATTTTCTCCCACTCTGTGGGCTGTTTACTCTGATGATTATTTCTTTTCCTTTGAAGAAACTTTTTAGTTTAATTAGGTCCCATCTATTTATCTTGTTTCTTTTGCATTTGCTTTTGGGTTCTTGGTCATGAACTCTTTGCCTATGCCAATGTCTAGAAGAGTTTTTCCAATGTTCTAGAATTTTTATGGTTTCAGGTCTTAGATTTAAGTCTTTGATCTACCTTGAGTTGATTTTTGTATAAGGTGAGAGATGAGGATCCAGTTTAATTCTTCTGCATGTGGACTGCCAATTTCCCCAGTACCATCTGTTGAATACGCTGTCCTTTCCCCACTTTATGTTTTTGTTTGATCAGTTGGCTGTAAGTATTTGGTTTTATTTCTGGGACTTCTATTCTGTTCAATTTGTCTATGTGCCTGTTTTTATACCATTCCCATGCTGTTTTGGTGACTATAGCCTTGCAGTATATTTTGAAGTCAGGTAATGTGATGCTCCAGATTTATTCGTTTTGCTTAATCTTACTTTGGCTATGTGGGCTCTTTTGTAGTTCCATATGAATTTTAGGATTGTTTTTTTCTAGTTCTGTAAAGAATGATGATGGCATTTTGATGGGGATTGCATTGAATTTGTAGATTGCTTTTGGCAGTATGGTCATTTTCACAATGTTGATTCTACCCTTCCATGAGCATGGGACGTGGTTCTACTTGTTAGTGTCATCTATAATTTCTTTCGGCAGTGTTTTTAATTTTCCTCGTACAGGTGTTTAACCTCTATTGCGGGAAGTCAGGGACCCTGAATGGAGGGACCGGCTGAAGCCACAGTGGAATAACATAAATTGTGAAGATTTCATGGACATTTATCACTTCCCCAATCAATACTCTTATAACTTCCTATGCCTGTCTTTACTTTAATCTCTTAATCCTGTCATCTTTGTAAGCTGAAGATGTATGTCACCTCAGGACCCTGTGATGATTGCGTTAACTGCATAAATTGTTTGTAAAGCATGTGTGTTTGAACAATATGAAAACTGGGCACCTTGAAAAGAACAGGATAACAGCAATTTTCAGGGAACAAGGGAGATAACCATAAGGTCTGACTGCCTGCAGGGCCAGGCAGAACAGAGTCATATTTCTCTTCTTGCAAAAGCAAATAGGAGAAATATCGCTGAATTCTTTTGTCAGCAAGGAATAGCCCTGGGAAAAGAATGCATTCCCGGGGGAGGTCTCTAAAATGGCCACTCTGGGAGTGTCTGAATTACATGGTTGAAGATAAGGGATGAAATATGCCCTGGTCTCCTGCAGTGCCCTCAGGCTTGCTAGGATTAGGAAATTCCAGCCTGGCAAATTCTAGTCATACTGGTTCTCTGCTCTCGAACCCTGTTTCCTGTTAAGATGTTTATCAATGACAATGTGTGCCCAGCGGGATGTGGAACCTCATCAGTGATTCTAGTTTTGCCCTCTGCCTTGTGATCTTTTACTGCCCTCTGAAGCATGTGATCCCTGTGACCCATTCCCTATTCATAGACCCCCACCCCTTTTGAAATCCGTAATAAAAACTTGCTGGTTTTGCGGCTCAGGTGGGCATCATGGAACCTGCTGACATGTGATATCACCCCCGGAGACCCAGCTGTAAATTTCTCTCTTTTGTACTCTTTCTCTTTATTTCTCAGACTGGCCCACACTTAGGGAAAATAGAAAAGAACATACTTTGAAATATTGGGGGCTGGTTCCCCCAGTAAACCTCCTTGGTTAGGTATATTCCTAAGTATTTTATTTTTTTGCAGCTACTATAAAAGGGGTTGAGTTCTTGATTTAATTCTCAGCTTGGTCACTGTTAGTATATGGCAGTGCTACAGATTTGTGTACATTGATTTTGTATCCTGAAACTTTACTGAATTCATTTATCAGATCTAGGAGCTTTTTGGATAAGTATTTATGGTTTTCTAGGTATACAGTCATATCATTGGTGAACAGTGACAGTTTGACTTCCTATTTACTGATTTGTCTGATTGCTCTGGCTAGGATTTCCAGTACTATGTTGAATAGAAGTGGTGAGAGTGGGCATCCTTATCTTGTTCCAGTTCTCAGGGGGTATGCTTTGAACTTTTCCCCGTTCAGTATAAGGTCGGCTGTGGGTTTGTCATAGATGGTTTTTATTACCTTAAGTTATGATCTTTGTATGTCAAGTTTGCTGAGGGTTTTAATAAAAAAGCGATGATGGATTTTGTCAAATGCTTTTTCTGCATCTATTGAGATCATATGATTTTTGTTTTCAAATCTGTTTATGTGATCTATCACATTTATTGACTTGTGTGTATTAAATCATCCTTGCATCCCTGGCATGAAACCCAATTTATCACCATGTATGATCTTTTTGATATGCTGTTGGATTATGTTAGCTTGTATTTTGTTGAGGATTTTTGCATCTATTTTCATCAGAGATATTGGTCTGTAGTTTTCTTTTTTATTATGTCCTTTCCTGGTTTTGGTATTAGGGCGATCCTGGCTTCATAGAATAATTTAGGGAGGATTCTCTCCTTCTCTGTTTTGGAATAGTTTCAGTAGGATTGGTACCAATTCTCTTCTTTGAATGTCTGATTGAATTCAGCTGTGAGTCCATGTGAATCTGTGATTTTTTATCGTTGGCAGTTTTTTAAAAATTACCATTTCAATCTTTCTGCTTTTTATTGGTCTGTTCACAGTTTCTATTTCTTCCTGATTTATTCTAGGAGGGTTGTATATTTCCAGGAATCTGTCTTCTCTAGGTTTTCTAGTTTGTGCCTGTGAATGTGTTCATATTAGCCTTGAATGATATTTTATATTTCTGTAATATCAGTGGCATTTTCTTCCATTTTGTTTCTAATTGAGGTTATTTGGATCCTCTCTTTTCTTGGTTAATCTCACTAATGGTCTATCAATTTTATGTATCGTTTCAAAGAATCAGCTTCATGTTTCATTTATCTTTTGTATTTTTTTGTTTCAATTTCATTTACTTCTGCTCTCTTTGTTATTTCTTTTCTTCTGCTGGGTTTGGGTTTGGTTTGTTCTTGTTTCTCTAGTTCCTTGAGGTGTGACTTTACATTTTGTATTTGTGCTCTTTCAGACTTTTTGATATAGGCATTTAATGCTATGAACTTTCCTCTTAGGACTGTTTTTACTGTGTCCGAGTGGTTTTCACAAGTTGTGTCACTATTATCATTCAGTTCAGAGAATTTTGCATCTTGATTTCACTGTTGACCCAAAGATCATTCAGGAGCAAATTATTTAATTTCCATGTATTTGTATAGTTTTGAAGGTTTCTTTTGGAGTTAATTTCCAATTTTATTCCACTGTGGTCTGAGAGGGGACTTGATATAATTTTGATTACCTTAAATTTGTTGAGGCTTGTTTTGTGGCCTATTATGTGGTCTATCTTGGAGGATGTTTCATGTGCTGATGAGAAGAATGTATATTCTACAGTTGTTGAGTAGAATGTTCTGTAAATATCTGTTAAGTTTATTTCTTCTAGTGTAACTTAAGTCCATTGTCTCATTGTTGACTTTCTGTCTTGATGACTTTCTAGTACTGTCAGTGGAGTATTGAAGTCCCCACTATTATTGTGTTGCTGTCTATCTCATTTCTCATGTCTAGTAATAATTGTTTTATAAATTTGGAAGCTCCCATGTTAGGTGCATATATGTTTAGGATTGTGATATTTTCCTGTTGGAGTTATCCTTTTATCATTGTATAATGTCCCTCTTTGTCTTTTTTAACTGTTGTTGCTTTAAAATCTGTTTTGACTGATATAAGAATAGCTACTCCTGCTTGCTTTTGTTTTCCATTTGTATGGAATATCTTTTTCCACTCCTTTACCTTAAGTTTTTGTGAGTCCTTACACATTAGATGACTCTTGAAGACTGAAGATACTTGGTTGCTGAATTTTTATCCTTCCTGCCATTCTGTATCTTTTAAGTGGAGAGTGTTAATATTGAGATGTGAAGTACTGTTCTATTTCTCATGCTAGTTGTTGCCTGAATTCCTTATTTTTTTCCTTTGCATTACTGTTTTATAGGCCCTGTGAGATTTATGCTTTAAGGAGGTTCTATTTTGGTGTATTTTGGAGTTTTGTTTGAAGACTTAGAACTCCTTTTAGCATTTTGTGTAGTGCTGGATTGGTAGCGGTGAAGTCTCTCAGCATTTGTTTGTCTGAAAAAGACTTTATCTCTCCTTCATTTATGACGCTTAGTTTTGCTGGATACAAAATTCTTGCCTGGAAATTATTTTGTTTGAGGAGGCTAAAGATAAGACCCCAGTCTTTTCTGGCTTATAGGCTGCTGTTAATCTGATAGGTTTTCCTTTATAGGTTACCTGATGCTTTTGCCTCACAGCTCTTAAGATTCTTTCCTTTGTCCTGACTTTAGATAACCTGATGACTATGTGCCTGGGCGATAATCTTTCTGTGATAAATTTCCCAGGTGGTCTTTGAGCTTCTTGTATTTGGTTGTGTAGATCTCTAGCGAGGCCAGGGAAGTTTTCCTTGATTATTCCCTCAAATATGTTTTCCAAACTTTTAGATTTTTGTTCTTCCTCAAGAATGCCAATCATTCTTAGGTCATTTAACATAATCCCAAATTTCTTGGAGGCTTTGTTTATTTATTAAAGTTCTTTTTTCTTTGTCTTTGTCTGACTGGGTTAATTCGAAAGGCTTGTTGTTTGAGCTATGAAGTTCTTTCTTCTACTTGTTGGATCCTATTGTTGAAACTTTCCAGTGCATTTTGTATTTCTCTAAGTGTGTCTTTCATTTCCAGAAGTTGGATTGTTTCTTCTTTATGATATCTACGTCCCTGGGGCATTTTTAATCCATATCCTGTGTTTTTAAAAAATTTATTTAAGTTGTTTTTCACCTTTCTCTGGTATCTTTTTGAGTAGCTTAAAATCAACCTTCTGAATTCTCTATCTAGCAATTCAGAGATTTCTTCTTAGTTTGGATCTATTGCTGGGGTCCAGTGTGGAGGTGGTAGGGGAGTGAAGTAGACTCTGTGAGAATCCTTGGTTGTAGATAGACTTAGTGTGGTGGCTTTCTCAAATGCTGGTTATGCTAGCAGTGCAGTTGTCATGTGAACAGACCGAAGACCACTGGTTAGTCAAGATTTTTCAGCCAGTGGAATTAGCTGTTTTCTCCTTTCTTAGAGCAGTTATTCTGTCGTGAATTGTTGTAATGTCCTGAGTTGGTTGGCCTCCAGCCAGGATGTGGTGCTTTCAAGAGGGCACCAGCTACAATAGTAGAAGGTGGATATAAGCTTGCCCTAAGTTGGCCAAGATAAATATTCAGTTTCTCAGGCAATGAGTGGTGTCATAAAGCTCCCAAGAGTTTACGTCTTTTGTGATTGGCTACCAGGTGGGTAGAGAAATGCCCTCAGGTGTGGACAGGGTTAGGCAGGTCTGAGCTCAGACTCTCCTCGGGCGGGGGGCTTGCGGCAGCCACTGTGAGGGATGGGGTGGAGGGTTTTTCTCCAGCCAATGGAATTATGTTCCAGAGGGCATTATGGCTGCCTCTGTCACCAGAGAAGTAGGGGAAACCTGGTAGCAATAGGCTTCACCCAGCTCCCATGCAGTTGGCGAGGCAGGTTTTGCTCCTGCTGTGCCACACTAACAGCATTGAATTTATCTCCCTGCAGCCTTCAGGATGGACTCAGACCTCACTCCAGGCTATAAGTTTCCTGCTGAGAAAGCAAGCACAGCTTTCAGGCCATGTGCCTCCCTGTCTGCCCACAATGTTGGCAGTAACTTCTGCTCTTTCTCCAGCAGTTCCGTTCGTCCCCAGATTCTGCTCCAGAGGATTTGTGCCCAGTCAGAATTATAACAAATTTCAGTTGGACGCTCCTTTCACACTGTGACCCCTTCCAAATTTTGCCGTCTGCCTTCCCCCAGGGCCCTTGTGAGATATAGTCAGGGGTGGCTTCCCTGGGCTTGAGCTAAAGACTGGGCGTGCCTACAAGGCTCTTCTCACTGCTGCATCTACCATATATATATATATTTTTTTTCTTTTTGTTGCGACGGAGTCTCACTCTGTCACCCAGGCTGGAGTGCAGTGGCGCGATCTCGGTTCACTGCAGGCTCCGCCTTCCGGGTTTATGCCATTCTCCTGCCTCAGCCTTCCTAGTAGCTGGCACTACAGGCGCCCGCCACCACGCCTGGCTAATTGTTTTGTATTTTTAGTAGAGACGGGGTTTCATCGTGTTAGCCAGGATGGTCTCAATCTCCTGACCTTGTAATCCGCCCGCCTCGGCCTCCCAAAGTGCCGGGATTACAGGTGTGAGCGGCAGCGCCCGGCGTACTTTTGTATTTCATGCTAAATCTGTTTCAGGTCTAGGTAAAGTTAAATCCTTTTCCTGTAATCTGGATTTTCGAGTTCCCCAGTGGGGACATGGGTCCGGAGGCAGGTTTTTCCCCTCTCACGCTTTGGGAACGCACAGTTTTTCACTTGTCTGGTGGAGTTTGCAGTGGCCCCTCCCTTCTTTAAAAGGATCTGTGAATTCTTTCGATTTTCTGGGTATTCTCCTGCAGTGGTTCCTTTCTTGAGGGATCTGTGAAGTGAGTTCCTCAAGATATTTCTTGTCAGGTGAACAGTCTGTGGTCTCTGCAGGGCCTGTACCACCCCTGGGCACTGTATGCCCCACAGAGTGGGCCTCTCCTGTGCAGGGCCTGGGAAGAGGTTGATTATAATCTGGTGTCTGAGGCCTGGCAGCACCACACTCTCTTCAGTGAGTCAGGCTCAAGTCTGAGCACATCTGCAGAGCTTATGTTTGCTGTGTTGCTCATGGAAGGCAGGGAATCCAAAATTGTTTTCTTAGAGATGGACTCTCACTATGTTTCCTAGGCTGCTTTCAAACTCCTGGCCTCAAGTGATCCTCCTGTCTCGGCCTCTCAAATCACTGAGATTACAGGTATGGGCCACTGTGCCCAGCCTATTATCGATTTTCTCCCATTTCATTCAGTCCTCAACCCAATGTACTCTCTCTTTTTCTTTCCCTCATCTCTGATGCTCCTCTCAGGGTGGCAACTAATGACTTTTATACAACTCAAGCCAGTGGTCACTGTTCTGTTTCTGTCTTATGTGTGTCATTAGTGTGTTTGAGATGCCCCCTCTCCTCTTTCCTGGAAGTTTTCTCCTGTCTCTTGTCTTTTATGAACCCACTTCCTCTCTGTTTTCCTACCAATTTCTAGTCCTCTGCTTTTCAGCCTCTTTCTTCATGTCTGTGTTTGTCTGGATGCAGGAGCACACACTCAGATCCCTGCTATCCTGACTTTGTGTACTTTTCTTGAGTGACCTGACCCAAAATTAGAACTTCACCCACCATGAGCCTCCTTCCAGTTTATGTCACTAACCTAATGTAGCATGACACTCATCCATTTATTTCACTGCCTTCAAATCAACTGTATGTTTTCCCCTAGAAGTTTAAATTCAGTATGTCTCAAACAGAAAATTTTACCTTCTCTCAATCACTTAATTATCACCTTTGCAGGCACGGATGCCACAATTCTCCACGTTGCGTGGTTATTCTCGACTTCTTCATATCCCTACTTCTGGCATGTGATTTAGTGATTCCTGTGGCCTCTCATGTCATTACTGCCATCAAATCCATCTGCTGTCCTCCTCACCCCATGTTCCTGCCCTGGCCTACGCCTTCATTACTTCCCACCAGAGGGCTTAAAAGTGCTACTGGTCTTGCCTTGAGTCCCGCCTCCTCCAGCCCATCCTTCCTACAGGTGCCCCATCCAAACACAAATCTGACCGTGTTACTCTCCTGCTTAAGATACTTCACAACTTCCTATGTCCTGTGGGATAAAATGCAAACACTTGCCATCAGCACACAAGGCAGGTTACAGTGCTGCCTGGCCCACATCTCCCCTGGCTTCAGTCACACTGAAGAACTGCAGTTCTCCTTGCAACTTCATGCCTCTCTGCTCCTGAGCCTGCTTCTCCTGCTGGAAATGCCATTTCCCCTTTCTCTGTTTTGCTATCTGCAGGTGAACACTGTCCCTAGGAACCTTTCCTAAATCGTATTTTAATTTTGCTCCTGAGTAGCTCTTGTGTATACCTTGTGATACTCAGTGGTGATCAAACCACACATGTAGCAATCATCTTTTCTTTGTCTGTTTTATTCTTGAATTTCAAGTAGATTAAGGACAAAGTTCCCATCTTTAGAGTTTCATCCTTATTACCTAGAGAGTGAAAGTTCACAAAAAGCATTTATTAACTGAATGAAAATTAACATTTGAAGTGTGGAATTTGCTTCAAAATGTGCCAACCTTTAGTTTTCAGATTTTGTAAATATAATAAATACAAAGTAACCTAAGCTGAACCAATTACATCTGTGTAGCCCAGTCTATACACCGTGTATTTTTCTTTTTCCTTTGGGATTCATTTCTGTAGGTGAGTAATCCTCTAGACCCTAAACTCAGTGGGGGACCCTCACCATCCATGTGCGGCACTGAACCTGCTGTCACACTATGCATCTAAGTAGAGGACTGGTTCTCCCCATGCTGGGCTGGGAGGGGAAATCCTCACTTAGGGACCACCAACCATGCAGTGTCATTTGGCTTCACTTCCTCTTCCAGGCCGAACCCTAAACTCTCTGTAATTCACTGTAATAATAATTCACTTTTTGTTATCAACCAGTTGCTGCTTCTTATGTATCAGGTAAAGCTAAGATACTATCCCATAGGTCTTTCAAATGCCAACAACTTGTATTTCCAGGTGAAACTACACTTGAAAACTACACTCCACAAGACAATTTTGTGAATGTTATGTGAATGATAATACTTTTAAATTTACTCTGCCTAAAATGTAAGTGTTGTGGATAAAATTATAGAAGGTATCATTTTTCTTCTAAAAGTAAGAATGTAACTTGAAGTCTATAAATGTCACTAAGACTCTGGAGGTATTTTCATGTCCTTCACGATTTTGTTCCACTCTGAAATATTTATTCCATCCTTCCACTTCCCTGCCTTGCTTTATGGCTATATCAGTAATTTTTAATGTATTGTCCTGTAGGGTTTCTGAGATCCTACAGGAATGAGGTAGGAGGACTACTCAATATTGTTTCTACCAGGAGTTGTGTGACTTGGACAAGTTACTTTACCTCTGGGGTCAGTTCCCTACTATGGAAAATAAGTTCTTCTACATGGGGGTGTGAAGATTCAATGAGTAAGTTTAGCACATAGTAAGTGCCCAATAAATATTATCTTACTGTATTCAGCATTACCATTATCATAGACGGATGTTAAGTCTTCAGGGACAAGGGAAACAACCTGTATCGTCCATGGGTCATTTCTGTCTTTGTTTCTTCTCACTCCTTTTCTTTTCTTTCATTTGCATTTCTCATTTTCTGTGTTATTCCTTCATGTTCCCAATAACCTTCCTGTTACCTGTTTGCTTCCTGCATTCTGTGTAGCATCCTACGTATTCACCCATTCTCCATCTTCTCCTTCATGCAGCAGACCATGTGTCAACATATGCGGAGTTTGTGCAGACGCACAGACCCTCTGGGGAGTATATGTTTGAATTTGATGAGGAGGAGCAGTTCTACGTGAACCTGGATGAGAAGGAGATGGTCTGGCCTCTACCAGAGTTTATTCACACCTTTGACTTTGGTGCTCAGAGGGGTATTGCTGGCATCGTCATGGCAAGGAAGCACTTGAACACCCGGATCAATGGTCCAAACAGACTTGGGCCACAAATGGCACTGCCTATAGCTGCCTGTTCCTCTCAGAGGGGTATTGCTGGCATCGTCATGGCAAGGAAGCACTTGAACACCCGGATCAATGGTCCAAACAGACTTGGGCCACAAATGGCACTGCCTATAGCTGCCTGTTCCTCTAGAGTCCAGCTGGAGGGATGGGAGGGCCTCTCTGCCACACATAGAACTAGAGGCCATGATGCCCACTCATGAATGAGCCCCTTCCCTGAGAGCGAGAAATCTTGGGTCCACACAGCTGGGTTCTTAGGACAGCAGAGGAGGAGGCATTTTCTTCTTACTCAAGAGAAAGGCTGGGCTGAGGGGGCCAGGTCAGGAGCACGAGAAGCTGTGACCCTGTCCAGGAGCCCTAGGGGAGCAGGAGGATGGGCCTGGGAGAGGTGGCCCCTAATCTGGTGAATATAGGACTTGGGGTGGTGGAACCTTTAAGAATCAGCCAATGGCAGTAGGCTCCTTGGGTTCTATCCCCTTTTGGAGCCCCCACCGAGGTAAGCGTCTTTCCCAAGGAGCCTGTGGATCTGGGCCAGCCCAACACCCTCGTCTGCCATGTTGACAAGTTCTTCCCACCAGTGCTGAACATCACGTGGCTGCGCAATGGGGAGCCAGTCATTGAGGGTATTGCAGAGACCATCTTCCTGCCCAGCAAGAAACTCAGATTACACAGGTTCCACTATCTGACCCTCGTTCCCATGGCCGAGGACACCTGTGACCTCCAGGGGGAGCACTGGGGCCTGCACCAGCCTCTCCTCAGGCACTGGGGTATGGAGCGCCCTCCCTCTGCCCTCACGGCCTTGGCACCACCTTTATTTCCTGGGCCCATCGCCCCTCAGCACCTGCCTTCCTCAATCCCATGTTTTATGGTCACTTTATCCAAATTTCACCATCTCATGGTTTCGAATACCCAACACCTCCCACATCCAAGGCCAGCCCCTGCTCTCTGTACCTTATAACTCTGTCTTCCCTTGGTGCCCCAGAGGTCCATGAAATAATCCAGGTGCCTGAGACCATGGAGATGCTGGTCTGTGCCCTCGGCCTGCTGGTGGGCCTGGCGGGGGTCCTTAATGGCACCATTGTCTCAAAGACCAAGCGATCTGACAGCATCCCCGGGTCCAGGGGCTCCTATGAGTCATCCTATAGGTGTATTAGGGACAGAGTGGAAAAGACGAGGTAACAAGTTAGGGGTGAAGAGTGGGAAAGAGAAACACTTCACCAGGGGCTCTTTGAGCATTGATGTTTTACTGCCATTGGGCTGGATAAAAACATTAACAAATGTAATGAGAAATGACATTCATTGAGTTGCTTACTATGTTCTAGGCACTATTCTAAGTGCTTCTCATGTGTTCACTTATTTACATCTGGAGGTTGGTTCTTATTTATTTCATGTTACAGAGCAGGAATCAGACACCGGGAGAGGTGAAGACCACACAGCTTCAAAGTGCAAAGCTTGGATTTAAACCCAGGCTTTGGGCCTGCAGTGGCTGCAGTCTTGTCCAGTATTTAGATTATTTCATCTGCAGTCACTATCTGTCTTCCTACATTTTACACAGCCTTAATTTTCTTCTGCCCGCAGAGTGATGTTCAGAACTTCCAATGCTATGTTAAACATTTCCAGCAACGAAGGACATCCTATCTTTTGCACAATCTCAAAGGCAATCCACCTCATTTCTTTGAAATATATATGCTATAGATTTTTGGTTCACTACCTTTAACATGTCATGAAATTGATTAAATTCTGTCTATGTCTTGAGCTGAATTCAGTTTAAATTAATATGAATTTTGCGGAGTCCACTAATGTGTTAACCACATTATATATTTTCTGACACTGAAGAATCATTGCATTCCTAGAATAAATCTAAAATTGGTCAAAACGTATTGTTTTTATAATGTACTGTTGGATTCAGTGACATGGCTAAAATTAGTCCACAATCCTGTTCTCCTGTACTATTCTTAGCTGGCTCTGGAAATATAAATGAACCAACCTCATAAAATGATCTCAAAAATTCTGTTCCATTCTATGTTCTAGAATCACACGTGTAAGAGGCATGATCTGCTCCTGGAAATGTGGGAGGACGCCCTCATCTGCAATAAGATCAGGACAGGGCCCTTTGGAAGGCGATTCTTTGCTTCCCATGACAATTTCTTTGATATTCTCTACTCTATTTTAGTTTTCTATTTCTTCCTGTAGTTTTGACCTTTATATCTTTCTAGAAACGTATCCGTTTTATCTAAATTTTCAAATTTATATGTATAGAGTTGGTCGTAAGATTTTGCATTTTAAAATGTGTATAAATGTCATTTACCCTTTTCGTTCTGAATCTCCTGTATTTTCCTTAGGAGTCTTGCCAGAGGTCTCATTAAAGTTTTCATTGCCTCAAAATTTGATTTTATCTTCTCTATTTTTATATTTCATTGAATTCAGCTTTTGTCCTTATTATTTACATGTATTTTCTTTTTGCTGTTTTTCTGCTTTTCCATCCTCTTAATTCACATAATTAGCTCATTTGTTTACAGTCATTTTACTCTAACAAAATTGTTTAACAGTCTGACATTCTATGCAGCATTTTGAATGAACTTATTTCATCTTTCTATAAAGACTAAACATCTATTATGTTTTCAGTTATTTCCTCTTCCTCCACTATTTCCCTGACTTTCTAGACGTCTAATTATTAAGATGTCAGATGTCTGTTTCTATCCTTCATTTCTCTTCACTTGTCCTTTACATTTTCTATTGTTTACTCGATCATATTGTCCTTGGGACAGTTTCTCAGTTTGGCTTTTTGTTTATTAATTACACTTCAGTTGCAAAAGTCCTATTTCTTGTCTCATTTATTATGTTTCTTATTCCAATCTTTATCAAAGCTCAATATTTGTGCTTGATTCAGTGGCTTCTTGCTTTTGCTTCAAATTCCCAAATTCTCCTTTACTTCTCTATTTAAGCCCTTTCTATTGTGAACTAGGGGACATTTGGAAGAAACACACAAACCAATAGAATGTACGTTGAATGGTTATCACCGCAAGCACCCATGTAACTAGTACCCGGGTGAAGAAATAGACTGTTGCCAGCATCCCTGTGCCCCTCCTTAGGCCAGGAGGTAGTGTGTAAGCTTTTCAGGAGCCAAAGGCTGCTGATATCCATAATGCCTAGCATTGCTCCTGGTACACAGTAGGTCCTCCATAAATATCTCTTGTAGAAGTATTTTATTATTTATTTAGTGTGTACTTCTTAAATGTTTTCCACCTTCAAGTATTCCCACTTATTTGAAGTTAGTTGCAGCCATATGATTTACATTGGAAAATGAAATGCGAGAAGTGTGTTCTTTCTAGGAGGGATCATTAAAAGCCAGTGAATAAATTCTTAGGTTCCCTTCATTCTGCTGGGGAGGTTCTGGGAGCAGATGTGCAGGAGAAAGACTGTCAGCCTGGCTTCCTGAGTACGATGATGAGCAGAGCTTCCTGCATGACTTACTTTGGACGTGTAACATGAGCCAAACCTGGATATCTGGGTATTTGTTAGTTTAGCACAGCTGATCCTATTCTTACTGTGTAAAAGAAATTGAAGAGAAGGTGCTCAATGAGACTTCAGAGAAGCTGAGAGACAAAAGAACTAGGAGGATGTTTCATCCCATAAGCCAAGTGCACAGTAATTTCAGGGACAGTTTACAATGCAACATGCTCAAAAGGCATCAACTATGGTAAGTGTTCACTGGCCTGGTAGCAAGTGGTTATTAAAACCCCTTTCAAGAGCATCTTCACACCCGATGCCCAACTCCCACCTCCTTCCACTTTCACCATCCCCTGGCTCGGCCTCACTGCTACTTGACAAATGGGGACAAAGAGAGGGTGAGATGATTTCTTCTTAGGGTACCCCTTGATAACCATCTGAGGCAGCGTTGTCTGTTGGGTGGACCACCTTCTCGTTAGGGAACTGTGAGGGGTAGAAAATGAAGGGACCAGGTGGAAAGGGATGGAGGATACAACACTCAGCTGGGAGTCCTAAGCCCGCCGGGTTTTTTCTTCTGCAGGTATCAATTTTTCTGAGTCAGAGGTTGAGTCACCCACTTCACATCTCCTTTAAAGCTCCAGTTCCAACTTTCCTTTGAATCTCTGCTCTTCAACTCCAATGACTGATGTACCTCAAGACTCCTCTACCTCCTGGCTGCCTTTGATCCTGCTGCACATAGCACTCAGCAAAGGGCCTGACTCTTAGAAAACACTCTATCAATATTGAAAATTTGAAGTCTAGTGACAAGGTGGTCCCAGTTTGGATGGTCTCTCAGCTCTTGTCTCCTCTGGGACCTGTCTCTGCACTGCATCCTTCCTTAGAAATCCCAGAGTTTCATAAACACCTGCATATGTCAGAGTGAGACACATCTGATACCTTCTTTCTGTGACTCCAGGGACATTCCTCATCTCCTGACACCCTCAGTTCCCTAGGAGCACATATCCTGTTCCTGTAATGTGGGTGCAGATACCTCAGCTTCTGATCCTGACAAGTGTTAGTCCAGAGATTGTTCACTCCACTCGGGGTACTGCCCTAACCTGTAACATGAGTACAGGAGACAAGCAGGAAAGAGAATGACTCTGACTGGATATGGTTTGTAATTTGTAATGTTAACTGCTCAGTGACTCTGAGGGTAGGATTTATGTGCTCTGGGTCTGAGGATTTCATAATGATCTCGATTTGAAGACTTTCTGCTATTCTCATGACCTCCTTCCATCGTTGAATCCCTGGATTGAAATCATATTAATTTTATGCTGCATAGGTTTCTCACAAGTTTCCTGTGAAGCCAAAAGGGAAAATAAGACAGATAAAGGGTCCTTATTTACTATATACTGTCTTCCTTAGCTTATTATGTGACAGCTGAAATTACTACGCAAAAACAAGTCAGCAGCATTTTCCTTTATAGTTTTTGAGGAAATGAGGCTGATCAGGGATAAAGATGTTTTAAAAAGAAAAAATGATTGTGTCCTATTCCCTAGGTTAAGAAGATTATGAGAAACATGATTGGTTGTCCTTGTGTGTGGCTTCTCTTTCCTGACTCCCTGACTCAGTCCAGCCTCTCTGCAGACTCCAGCTGTATTTACTTATATCTGTGCCAGTGACGCCCAAGTCTGTGCCTTCAGCCCCACCTCTCCTGAAATTGGAGGAAGCCGGTCCCCCGATGGAAGATATTATTTGCAAGGGGAGATGGGCAAGAGGAGCACAGTAGCTTTCGGGAATTGACCAGGGACAGGTGCCCAGGGACACACAAGGCCCAGAAGATGCTTGTAAGAAGCCAGGGAGACTGAAGGCATCAACTGGATGTATAAGAGAGCTGCTGTGCACTGATTGTGTGTATCAGGAGTGAAGAATCCATCCTCTACACGAAAAAGAAAGCTTACAACAAACATGTCCTCTACCTTGACCAAAAGGTGTCAATATGAGACGCAAAACACATAACAATGTTGGATTGTTAAGAAAAAAAAAAAGACCAGTGTTTGAAAAAGAGTGCTACATGTATTGCTTTGCTCTTTCCCCAGTGGGGAGTCATTTCTGTCTGTATGAAAATTAAGACAGGAGGCCTAGGCTGGTGGATGAATGCAGACTTAGACGACAAATGACGTCTATTGGATGCATTCAAAAGTCCAAGCCGTATTTGGTTAAGGAGTATTTGTGATGGCACACAAAGAAAATGGTTAAAGTGTATTAGATTATATTTATGATTTTAAATTCTGATGTTCATTTAACTTCTTAATGGTAATGATAAAACATGCTCTCAGTAAGGTATATGTTGAATTAGTGCTGTGGGAATATGGGTCCTATCAGGCAGATTTGCAGTCTGCTCACCATTGAATAGTTAAGAATAGTGGTCTGAGACATAAATGGATGAGGGCACTAAACTTGATTTGGGGGCAGCTCACTGAAATACAGTCAATTCAGAAGAGTGTCATGTGTAACAGGCCCCATTATACAATAGTTAACATATCCCCATTTTCATGGTTCTCTTCTTTCCTATGTTTAAACCAAAATGAACTTCTTTATTAACTCCTACTGTCTACTAAAACCCTCAGAGAAAAGTGATGAGAGATGATTTGGTGCATATTTTTAAAGGAAAACAAACAGTCATGTTGGGTTTTGATTATTTGTGGTGCTAAGAAGAAGGGAACATGGTTGGAGGCCCAGTGAGAGAAACAGTGCTTTGAATCAAAGAGCAGAATGATAGAAACTGACTTCAGAGCAACTTCTTGGCAGCAGTATCCAATTTGGAAGTTGAAGGTCTGTCCTGGAGCCAGATGCTAACGAAACACAGCAAATGCTTTTCCTAAGGCACAATAGTCTTTTCAGTGAGCTCAGGAACCCTGTGGGGGTAAAAGACAAGTTATCCCAGGTTGCCAGCCTCCTTCCTGTAAGTCCAGGAGAGAAAAATTATGGTGAGAGGATGCGTCTCAGGCTGATAAATAACAGAGTTGATCTCTGCTTCCTTCAGCAATGGAGCCAAGCAATGCTCTTTCCCCACTTGCCTGAAGGCTGACATTGAAAGAGGGGTTCATGCCTGAGATTCCCTTCCTGGAGGAGCCTCAGTGTTACAATGCACAGAAAGGACTCATATCCTCCTGCAACCCACCCCACAAGGAAATCAAAGCAGGAATATTACCTGTTTATGCAGATCCTCGTTGAACTGAAATGAAAGACGAAAGGTTATATAATCAGCCATTGAAACCACCTCAGATAATTAGAGAAACATTTCCATCCCACCAAATTCCATTGCCCATCACTCAATGGACGCTCCGCAGGAGCCTGAGTACTTGGGACCTCATGCATCTGGCTGCATTAAGATCCCAGCCTGGGATCCCTCTCTCGCTATAGGTCATGTTTGTTCCCCGATTATCTGATATCAGTGGCCTCTAGAGCTTTCTGACATTTCTTTTCTGTCAAACCCCTCATCGTGGAATAAGTGTGAATATGCCAGGGGAAGGTAAGTCCCGCTCACCCTGCAGGCTTTCTCACCTTTCTTGCTCCTCCTGTGCATGAAGATGCCCACTCCACAGATGATGAGCCCCAGCACGAAGCCCCCAGCTCCCGTCAATGTCTTACTCCGGGCAGAATCAGACTGTGCCTCTGGGAAGGACAGACCCAGGTTTAGTGTCACCTCCACCAGCTGCATCCCTACTCATGTCCTGTCTGAGATTCTGGAGCCTGATGCAGCATATCGGGATGAGGACAGTGCAGCGGAAAAAGCTTGCTAAGAGGAAATTCAGAAAGAGCCACCCTCATATCTGGAACAGGGGTGTGACCTCAACAAGGTGGCAAATGCTGATTCTGGAAGTTGCCTCTCAAAATGCCTGAGAAGAGGCTAAAATGCTGAAGGAAGAGAACTGTTCCTATGTGTGAGGTCAGTTCCTAAGTGTGAGGGTTTCGAGACCAGTCAGTGTCCCTAGATTCTCTGACAAGGGGGAGAACTATGAATCTTCAGGAACCCCTAAGCCAAGGTCAGGAAGTCTCCATTTCCCTGGCTTCAAACTATGCTCAGGAGCTGGTATAGAAGAAAGATGGGGTTTGGACATGGCCCCAGGGTATAGATGCAGAAGATAAGATGAGTGGACCCCAGAGCCAGAGAGTCCCCTGCTCTTCAGAGGTGGGGTCTAGAGGGTCATCAGAGACTCACTCCACTCCACGGTGACAGGACTATCCATGCTGGTGTGCTCCACTTGGCAGGTGTAGACATCTCCCTGCTGGGGGGTCATTTCCAGCATCACCAGGATCTGGAAGGTCCAGTCTCCATTACGGATCAGGTTGGTGGACACGACCCCAGCTGTTTCCTCCTGTCCATTCAGGAACCATCGGACTTGAATGCTGCCTGGGTAGAAATCCGTCACGTGGCAGACAAGCAGGTTGTGGTGCTGCAAGGGCCCCTTCTTGGAGGGGGAAACATTCACCCTAGGCTGGACTAGGAGCGTGGAAGAAAAATAATGAAATAGAATTTGAGATTGTCCTTCTTTCCTTCCTTCCTTCCTTCCTTCCTTCCTTCCTTTTTTTTGAGACATAATCTCGCTCTTTCTTTCTTTCATTCTTTCTTTTTGTTGAGATGGAGTGTCACTCTGTTGCCAAGTCTGGAATGCAGTGGCGCAATATTGGCTCACTGCAACCTCCACCTCCGGGCTTCAACCAATTCTCCTTCCTCAGCCTCCCGAATAGCTGGGATTATAGGTGCCTGCCACTTCACCTGGCTAATTTTTGTATTATTAGTAGAGACAAGGTTTCTCCATGTTGGTCAGCCTGGTTCTCTAGGAGCACTTGACCAACGCCTGACCTCAAGTGATCCACCCGCTCGGCCTCTCAAAGGGCTGGGATTACGGGCCTGAGCCACTGCATCTGCCCAGATTATTATTTCTTAGGCATGTTCACTATGTAATTGATTCCTAGATGTTGAAAATAGGAATAATGTGATTAGGCTAGTGGGTAAGGGTAGCATTGAAAAGATAGAAATAGACCTTCAAGTAGAGCATGCATGATCTTGAATAAAATAATAGTTAGTAAGTATATAGCGGAATGGCAGGGAGACAGAGTTTGCACTCTGTAGCACATTTAGGAGAAATTTTAACCAAAAGTAATTTGGGCAAAGAATATTTGATCAACTGTGAAATTACCTACCTTTTCAAAGTTCTATCTTGATACAAAGGAAGCAAAATTTACTCAAATAATATCTTGAAATTAAGATATACAGACAATGGCATTATGGTGGCCTGTGAATCTAATAACTTCATGAAAATACAAAGAAAATGAAGAGAGCTTTACATGTCTTATTCTGTAAAAAACCTATGTATTTTTTTACCTCACCTACAAAAACTCAAAATCTTCATATTTACAGAATATCCTGAGCTCCTACATGCTTGAGTAGTAGAAATCCCGTCCTTTTTCAAGTTCCTCCTCTGTGCTGCGTCTTCAGGTCCCATGAAGGTCTCACAGATGACCAGGTGTTGCCTCCCTCTGCATCTTTGCATTTGTGCCCCAGCTTGTCCTGTTGTTCTCAGGTGAATTTCCACACTGCCACTGGCAACTTTTCTTTTGGATCTCTGCCACCAGTACCTTTTTCCTCCTCAGAAAGCAGAAAAGGCCAGGCATGGTGGTCATGCCTATAATCTTAGCACTTTGGGAGGTTGAGGCATGAGGATCACTTGAGCCCAGGGTTTTGAGACCGGCCTGGGCAACATAGTGAGAACCCATCTCTAAAAAGAAAAATAAATTAGCCAGACATGGTGGTACGTGTATCTGTAGTTCTAGCTACATGGGAGGCTGAGGCAGGAGGATCACTTGAGCCCAGGAGGTTGAGGCTGCAGTGAGCCATGATGGTGCCACAGCACTCCAGCCTGGGAGACAAAGTGAGAACCTGTCTCAAAAACAAACACAAACACAAAACAAAAAACAAACACAGAAAAGGGTCAAGTGCTCCTAGAGAACAGTTCATTCAGGGAGATCCACTAGAGAACAGCTCTTTCAGAGGACTACCCTAGAGAACAGCTCATCAAGAGGAATGTCTCAAATTAGTCTTCTAGGTCCCTAATCACTCAGTTCTTTCCTTTCTACTTCCTGGAGAACACAAATACCCTAACATGGCGCTGGGCCAGGTAAAAGTACAGTCTTGAACTGACACACAACCCTTACTCCCTATTGTATTTTTGCCTTGTTTTCAGACTGATCCACATTGTCAGCCTCTTCCCTCAATGTGAGTTTATTTCAGGGGCACCTGTGTCTCACTACTTCATTACCTCGGTTAACTCAATGTCCATTACACTATTCAACTTATGTCTAAATCTCAGTTGTGAATTACCTACAATTTCTTCCCCATAGAGCTTCTGGGAACCATGAAATCAGGGGGAATACTTGGGTATCTGTTTTAAGGTCCCAGAACATTCCACGAGAGGCATCTTGCTCAATATTCTTTGACAGGAGCAGGTCAGCCTGGAGCCACATCAGTGACCTCCAGGGTGCGCTGGAGTTAAGGCCTGATACCCAATGGCCTCATTTCTGACCCAGTTCAAATACATTTCACCAAGGCAAGGATTCCTGTTTGTTCTAGTTGCCTTCTCTAATGCCCAGAAAACATTTGCTCAATTACTTCTAGATTTGGGTGGACATCCACCCTGGAATTGTCACTACTTCTTTCCTCCCCCTTCCACCTCTCCCTTGCCTCTGTGTTTTCCCTGTTCTAACTCATGCCTTGATTGCAATTTCCCTGACAAATAATAGCAGTTTCCTACCTCATCTCCCTGCCTCTGGTCCCTCCTCTAGCCAGCACCCTTAGTAGTCTTCTGAAGACACATCTCCAACCTTCTCTTTTTCATTTTTCAAAAATCTTCAGTGTTCTGACAATACTTATCTGGCTACATGGGAACCTCTAGGGAGCTGATTACAAGCAGAGATCCCCAGACCTCCCCACCCAGGGAATCTGAGTCTGGGGGCACTGAGTCTGGAGATCTGTGCATCACAGAGGATCTCCAGAAGAGTCTTCAGAGGAGTGAGGTTGGGGACCTGCGGGCCTGGAGGAGAAACCCACACTCCTTAGGCTGGCATCAGGGCTGTCTGCAATCTGGCAGTTGATTACTGTGAAAGAAAATGCTGCCATGTCACTGATTGGTGCCTCTACAAAGTCTTAGTAACAGTTTTTGCCAATTGCGTTATTTTTATTTGAACACCTCTCTCAACCAATTACCTCAGCAACTTTCCTAAGCTCATGTCACTCACCTCATCCCCACCCAGTGTGTCCACCTTCTCACTCATAGCAGGTGAACTTCCTTTCACTTTCCAGGAACAAGAAAATCAAAGGTGTGATCTCCCCAGCTTCCTCCTCCTCCTCCCTTCATTTTTTTCCTCTTTCTAGAAAAAAGGTCCAGGGCTCAATCCCACATCCTGATACTACTCCCTCAAGTCCCTCAGGTTGGTGCACCAGGCTCCCCACCCCACAAGTTCACAGGAGGAAGCCAAAGCTCCAAGGCCTTCCTGTCCCATCCTTGAGAAATCCTCTTACTGCACACACCTCACCTCTCTCCATCCCTTTACACCCAGACTTCCTGAAGGAAAAAGACGAATGAACTGAGACACTGCCCTGTGACAGCCGTGGGGAACCCAAGACAAGTAAAATCCATCTCAGCCCCGAGGAGGATGCGCCACACTCAGCCTCATGCACCCCCTCCCATTCCAGCTCCTGCCGCTGCGGCCAACCTGCTCTCCCCAGGTCTCCCTGGTTTCCAAACCCACTTTCCATCTTCTGTTTTCTGACCTTCCCAAGTCACTGGCACCGCTGTCCACTGTGCTGCTGAGGTCACCTCCCCTCAGCTTCCAAGACTCTTCTCTGCGGGCCTCTCCTCACACTGCACTTGGGTTTTTTTGGTCTCTTTCACAGGCTTTTCTGTCTTGGCCAAATCACAACTGTCCAGTTCCCAGGATCCGGTCCTTTGCTCTTCCCCCTGGGTCCCCTCTCCCTGGATGGTCTCATGTATCTCAGTCTCCTCCCCGGCTGCAGACCCTTCTGTCTACCTGCCCATCAGACCACCCATCTGCCCCTCAAGCACCTCAAACCCAGCTACCTCCCTGTAGGTTTCTTCTCTGTGTGGCCTGCTGTGCCATCTCCACCTCCATCTCCACACCATACCCTTGTGCGCTGTCCTGTGGCTTCCTTTTTTCACCCCACATGCAGTCAGCTGCCAGGCCTGATGAAGTCCCGGGGGTCTCTCTGCTCTCGTCCTCCTCACTCCATGCTCAGCCCAGTCCAGGTCCCCGCGCTCGCTCCCCTGACAAGCTCCAGATGGGCTCCCCCCATGAATCCCCAACCCAAAGTCCCCTTTCCGCCCGGCACTAAGGTCCCTTAGGCCAACCCGGCTGCTCCTGCGCCCTGGGCACGGGCCCGCGGGGCTGCCCTGGGACCGCCGGCCCAAAGCCCTCACTCACCTCGGCGCTGCAGGGTCATGGGCCCGCCCAGCTCGTAGTTGTGTCTGCACATCCTGTCCGGCACTGCCCGCTTCTCCTCCAGGATGTCCTTCTGGCTGTTCCAGTACTCCTCATCAGGCCGCCCCAGCTCCGTCACCGCCCGGAACTCCCCCACGTCGCTGTCGAAGCGCACGAACTCCTCCCGGTTGTAGATGTATCTCTCCAGGAAGCGCTGTGTCCCATTAAACGCGTAGCATTCCTGCCGTCCCTGGAAAAGGTAATTCTCTGCGGGGAGGGGGCGGACATGAGCGGAGGCGCCACTCTCATCTAATCCTCTTTCTCCCTCTCTCTCTCAATATTAACGATTCTTCCCAAATCTTCCCACCCAGGGCTGGATTTTAAAATAGGAGTTTTCCTAGTACCGAGTTCTGTGGTCCTAAGCGGGTCGCAGAGCCTCTCCAGGCCTGTTTTCTCACCACGCAGAGAGAGAATTTACTGAAAAGAATGAGCTCAGGGGCACTGAGTGATCACTAGGGAGGGGCGAGCACTGAGGGGAAGGCAGTCCCTTCTGCTGGTGGCTGGAGGAGGCGGAGACGTTTCACGTGGGGTCACTGGGAGAAAAAACAGGGGCGGGAGGAGCTGGGGACGTGGAGGGCGGAGCTGCTCCCCCTACTTAACTCCCTGACTGACATTTCCATCCTGATGTCAGTCCTGGTTCAAATGCCACCTCCTCCAGGAAGCCCTCCCTTCCTTCTTTCTCTTTTCCATAGCTAAGCGCTCTCTCTTCTCGACCAGTTTCTTGAGAATTCCTCAACTTGCTCCTGTTGTTTTGCATGTAGGAGATGTAGAAATATATTTCTTAAAACTTTCTTCAACTTTGGTATAAGAAAGACTCTGTAGCCTGAAAGTTAATTTTCAAACATGGCTGCAGAAAGACTTGGTGTCAAAAGATGTGGAAAGTATTTTACACAATGAAAATCACCACAACAACCAGGGACCTGTGGGGGTAGAGTCCTTTGGGTTTAGAGGCATTGATGTAATTTTTTTTGGCAGTTTTTATGGTTTTATTTACACACAAAACGTGGACATGAACTTTCTACTCATTTTCTTAGCTGTGCACCCTGGTACTGGGGTTGGTGACTCTGATGGCCGGCTGGGTGACTCTTTCCATGATGACTTTGCAGTTCTGGAGGAAATTTTGTGAGCGATCTCAGCACAGTAAGATTTGTTGCACATCAGCAGCACTTTCAGCTCCTTGAGGCTGTGGACCAGAAACTTCTGGAAGCCACTGGGCAGCATGTTTTTTTTGTTGTTGTTGTTGCTCCCATAAGCAATGTTGGGCATCAAGATCTGGCCCTTGGACCTTCTACGAACCCTACTGTTAAGACCTCTGGGTTTCCGCCAGTTATGCTTAATTTTGACATTTCAGTCTGATTGGTGCCTCATGAACTTGTTGGTCCTCTTTTTGAGGATCTTATCCTTCATGAGGAGTCTGAGGGAGGCCATGATGTGGAGGAAGAGATGGCTGCCAGCTGCATAGGCAGCACCGAGGAAGACAGCATTGATGTAATTTTTACATGAACAATTTTGGCAGCCTTTCCCACATGCTGTTCTTCCTAGGGAGTGCCATGAGCAGTGTCTGGCAGGTGTGTGTCTACACAGAATTATCAGTGACACGGCACATGTTTGTTTCTGTTTGAGTATCTTCAGGCCTGCTCTGTTCTTGGGCACACTGGGGAAATTAAGGTGCTGTGATTGTTCTGCTCATCTGTTTCATGCTCCACAAATTAACTTCTCCAGTTTATTAACCTCACCCCTAGCAGAAGTTGCACAGCTGGTGGCAGAGGATAGTGGAGATGGGGTAGGGCTGGGCTCAAGGGCACCATGGAGTCCACCTTTAGTCTCCAGTGTCATTGCTAAGGCAAGATCCCAGGTCTTGACTCAGATATCCTGACCTGCCTCTTCTCCTGGTGCCTTGGGCCCCAGACCCTAAAATTCCAGGCCCAGAGCCCCCCAGCTCCTTGAGTCCAGATTCCTCCTCCTCTGCCATCCATCCGCCCCTGCCTGTTCAGTTGCCCCACTCTGAGTGTGGATTCTCCCATTTTCATTTGTTAGTCTTTGTTTCTCCTCCTCAATCACCAGTAAGAGAACGTTTTTCATTCAAGAATAAGAATTTTGAATTTTTTCTTTGCAACATTTAATTTTTTTAATTTACCCAGTCTTAGGTAATTTTTTAAGTACATTTAACTTTTGAAATGGAATTTTACCTGCCAAGTAGACATAAGCAATGAGGGGTTTTATGGTGTAATTTGAAACCTTCATTTTTTTTTGTATATAAGAAACTTTATCCTGTTTGTGGAACCCTTAGCAATTGAGTTGCCCAGAGCACGGTTTGAAACCACTGATCTGAATGAATTCGTCTCTTATTCAGAATAGGATATATTAAAAACCTCTAGCTCCCTATGGGTTGTCTCAGCCAAGCTTTTCTCCCCCAGCCTCTTTAAGCTATAGCCTGGCTCCTCAGCCCTTTGGTCTTGTGCCCTGTTTGAGGTTGGGGATGTGTGTGGAGTTGGGGGAGCATGCAGGGAATTGTGGAATCAGCCCTGCCCACTTTACCCACTCCCCTATGGCTCCAGCTCTCCCTCCAGCAAATTTTGATTGAACATTCATTCTACGCAGGGAGCTCCAGTAATCTACCCTCAGTCCCTGTCACATGGCTCCACTGCCTCATCTCATTCCCCCTACAAACCTCAACCCAGCCTTTGCCTGTCCTCCCTTTCACTGTCCAGCATCACATGCTCCCTTCTGCTCTCTGCTCCCCCACCTCTGGGTTTCCTTGGTGGCTCCCAACACTGTCCCTCATCCCACATGACAGCTCTGCCTATGGGATGGGGGCGCTGCATCCGTCACTTCCTCCTGACACTGTTCAGTGTCACCAGTGCTGCTCCAGCCTCCTCTCTCCCCAGCCTCACCCCTCTGCAGTTCCCAGGGCTGAGCCGTCCTGCTGGTTAGTTCTCAGCACCCTTCTGTGACTACAAGTTCAAGTTCTCCTCCCCTTCCTGGACAATGAACCCAAGGTAATAGATAAGAGGTTTTAGGGCTTGAGGGGCTGTATTCAGGAGATTCCAACCTTGCTACCCTGAAAGATGAGGAGGTGACATGATGTCAGTACCTTTTAGGTGTGTCCTAGGAGGGGTGTGGAGAGGTCTAGGAGGAAGGGTGTAAGCAGGAAAAGTGGAAGTCAGTGGAAAACTAAGGTACCTACTTTGCAGTCCTTCCTCTCAGAGTGTTGGTGTAAATTTGGACTAGAAATGTCCTGAGAGTACAATGGTTGAACTAGTTTACAGTCCCACCAACAGAGTAAAAGTGTTCCTATTTCTCCACATCCTCTCCAGCACCTGTTGTTTCCTGACTTTTTAATGATCGCCATTTTAACTGGTGTGAGATGGTATCTCAAGACATTGTGGCAATTCCTCAAGGATCTAGAACTAGAAATACCATTTGACCCAGCCATCCCATTACTGGGTATATACCCAAAGGATTATAAATCATGCTGCTATAAAGACACATGCACACATATGTTTATAGCGGCACTATTCACAATAGCAAAGACTTGGAACCAACCCAACTGTCCATCAGTGATAGACTGGATTAAGAAAATGCACACATATACACCATGGAATACTGTGCAGCCATAAAAAAGGATGAGTTCATGTCCTTTGTAGGGACATGGAGGAAGCTGGAAACCATCATTCACAGCAAACTATTGCAAGGACAGAAAACCAAAGACCACATGTTCTCACTCATAGGTGGGAACTGAACAATGAGAACACATGGACACAGGAAGGGGAACATCATACACCGGGGCCTGTTGTGGGGTGGGGGGAGGGGGGAGGGATAGCATTAGGAAATATACCTAATGTAAATGACGAGTTAATGGGTGCAGCACACCAACATGGCACATGTATACATATGTAACAAACCTGCACGTTGTGCACATGTACCCTAGAACTTAAAGTATATATATATATAAAAAGAAATATCCTGAGAGTATCCTGAGAGAAAAACAATGGATCATAGATGCCATAATATTACACCAGCCACAGGGAGGCAGCAGGAAGAAGAGATTTTTCACTTGGTTACTGCTTCCTTGGCTGTCTGATAACCTACACTCAATCCCTGTCATGCACCCACACAACCTCATCTCATTCTTCCTACAAGTCGCAACCCACTCTAGTACCCTAACCAAGTTCTGGGGAGGCTGGGAGAAGTACCTTTAATGAGAATGCCTTCAGGGGCTAAAACCTATCCCCCTCCCTCCCTTCTCTCCTTAATTGTCCAAGGGATGTGGGCTCCTGCTCCACCCTGGGGAATAAGAGGCATTCTTCGTGAGCACTGAATCCTCAGTGATCCTCAGAGCCTGGACACTCCAGCTTAGGGCTCTCTGCCTGAGTCCCCTCCAGGCTGGATGCAGACATGAACACGCCCAGGAGCCTGCACTTGCCAACTTCTCTCTCTGCAAACCTTGTCTGTCCAAGGTTATCCAGGACCTCTTGGTCCCATTTTCCCCAAAGACAAGCATACTGACCACTGGGCACCTCTCTCTGTTTACTGTACCCATGTCCTTGGAGAGAGAATAGGCCAGTAGGGTAGCAAGCTATCCTATAGGGGATGAACCTCTTTCTCTAGCTGGGAAGAGAGGACACTGCCTTAGGGCAGGAGCCCCCGCAGCCTGTCTCAGAATTTGATCCCTTAAAGATAACGTCCCCTAGGAATTGTTCCCTGAGCCAGACCCTCCAAGAATGGCAGTTCGGCTCTTACCTGGAGTGGCCCTGCCCTGGACCACAGATGTGAGCAGCACCATCAGTAACGCCGTCAGAGCCACTGTCCGGGGGGCCGCAGAAACCTGCAGAACCATCATGGAGCTGGAAAAGGATGGCAAAATGAAAAGAGCTGCAGTCAGGAAAAGAAGGACTCGCTAAAGGGAGCTCCTGTTTGAAATATTAGAGACCATGAACCCAAGTAGTCTTCTGTGACCCTGGGATTGGACAGAGTCTGAGAAAAGAACCAATGGACACTGAGCTTTGTATGAGTCATTGCTCACTAGGCAGAAAGTTAGTATGAAAGGTCTGAAAATATAAAGCCTGTGATGCACTTAAGATGACGGAGGAAAGACAGTGATACTCATTTTAACCAGTCAGATAAGTCATGATGTTTGGGGAGATTATGCGTTTTCTTTGCTCTGAAGGTGATCTCAAATATTCTGCTGGCCCATCTACAGGGATTATCATTTCCCCAATTCTGCCACACCTCACACACCCACAGGACATGGTCTGTTGTGGAAAAAGTGCTATCTTAGTGTGTAAAAGGTCATTCAGTGGCATGACTTAGAGGGATTAGAGTACCCATCTCAGAACTCAAATGAGGTCTGAGTCTGTCTGTCTTGCCTTTGTCCAAGGGTGTGTTTAAGATTAGCACCCATTCATATTTACTTTCTCCCAGAGGTCTGTGAGTCCTGCGATGTGCAGGAGTTACCAGGTTCTTCCACAGGACTGTCATCAGGGTCAGGAGGGCTCAGTCTAGGGACCTTACACTGGGAGCGTGGACACACCACCTACCCTACCATGTAAATATGCAGCTTTAACGACACTGCCTCTCTTGGACTTCGATTCCTTGTCTTCAATATGGGGATGATATAACCTGCCTTATAGCAAAGCTCTTAAGATCAAATGAGATCAATAGGTCTGAAATTGCTTTGGAAAAATAAAGTCCATAGAGAATATAAATTGACTGGTAAATAAGGAAGAAAGTGAAAAAAAATCATCAAAGACCCCACCTCCTTCAAAGCATCTGATTCTATTTTGTTTAGAGTGAATATTTTTACAAACTTTCAAAGAACATTACTTCTTACTTTAGACACTTATAAATGTGATCCTGTTGGACCACCAATTCTAATTTCAAAAAAAATCAAATTGGCATCATTTCTTTAAATCAATATTAAAATGTAAATAGAAGGCTAGCATGTAAAATGCAAGAGAAGAAAATAATTATGTAGTAGAAGGTGTCTAGTAGGATTAAGGGGCCAGGAGAGGATTGTGGAGAAAAACTCAGTTTTTTTAGTAACTGCCTGGGTGGGACTTTTCTCCTTGTCATTTACCTGCCATAGATAATTAGACAAATACTTCCTCGATGTCTCAGGTAATTTATTTTTACAGTAGACATTAATAATACCTCCCTCAGGTTTAATATGAGGTTTAAATGAGGTAATGCATGCAAAGCACTAATAACAGAATCTCTCATGTCCTAATCTGTTAGTAATTATTATTTATGCAAGGTAAGGCTACCACAAATAAGATAAAATATTAACGTAATATATGTACTTCATCATTACATTAAATAGTAAATGTTTTGTGACCTTCTCTATGAGTATCAAATAAATAGCTCAAAATTGAAATATTTAAAATGAGACTAGAAAAGTATTTCTTAAATATGGTAAAGAGAATATAAAATAAAAAATTAACATTACCTGTAACAGAAAAACATTAGAGAAACCCTTCTTAAAAACAAGATCAAAATATGGGCGCACATTGTTACCACAGGTAATGCTGTCCTGGGTATTCTTATATGAAAATGAAATAACAAGACTAGTAATTTAAAGATAAAAATGTTATTACACTGTTTAAATACCAGGAAAAATCAAATACTAAGAAATCTGAAAAATAAAAATTATCTAGAAATTTCACTAACAAAGGTAACCAGGAATAGATAAACAATTAAAGATCAACTTCATTCAAGTTAATTAAAACCTCTAAATAGAAATTATAACACTTCTGCAGAAATGATTAAATAAAAAGGAGGTATCTCAGGGAGGTGGACCTGAAAGAAAGATTAATTATATATTTTATTAGATAGCACATTCATTCTTAATTATCAGCAGAATATTTTTGTAAAATATTGACAACATAACATAAAACATGATTTAAAATATAGTGACCAAAAAACATCAAAGATCATCTGACTGTCTGGGATGGGGGTGGGGCTCGGGAGAAGGAACATAATGGAAAACATTTGCCGTCAGAAGAAGGTGTAACTTATCTTTTTACATCTCTTTCTCTAACTCTGAAAATGAACTGTGAACTGGAGCTCTCTTGACCACGCTGGTACCTAAAATTCTCCCATCTCTTCCCCAGCACCTTCCAGCGTCCTCTTTACCCAGCAACAGAGAATGTCAGCTCTATGATTTCTCTGATAGGTGAATCCCAGCCATGCTGATTCCTCTCCACCCATTTCCAGTGCTAGAGGCCCACAGTTTCAGTCTCATCTGCCTCCACTCGGCCTCAGTTCCTCATCACTGTTCCTGTGCTCACAGTCATCAATTATAGACCCCACAACATGCGCCCTGAAGACAGAATGTTCCATATCAGAGCTGTGATCTTGAGAGCCCTCTCCTTGGCTTTCCTGCTGAGTCTCCGAGGAGCTGGGGCCATCAAGGGTGAGTGCTCAGGAGGACGCAGGAGCGTCGGGGTGAGTGATTGCTGCTTCAGGGATCACAGATTTTAGGGGCTCATTGATCTATCTGGTCCTCATAGTCTATGTTCCCTCTGGCCCTCATAATAATAACAGCAATAACAGCCAGAATTTATGAGACTCCTGCATAGTTTCTTTCCCCATTTACATCTCACAGGAATCTTCAATGAAGATAATATTCCATTCATTTAGAAATTATTCCTTTTATTTAGAAATTATTTTGAAAAAACTGAAGCTCAAAAAGATGAATAAGTTTTCCAAGGTTACACAGCAGATCAACGAGCCAAGTTTGAAGTCCAGACCCAGCTCTGAGGGTCATACACTGCCTTCCCCAGATTCCTGCACACAGTGACCTACTATCAGGGCCCTCCTATCTCTCTGGGATCCCCAGCCTCTATCTTTTGTGGCTGCTTTACAGGAACTCCGAGCTATGGACTCTGCATTAGGAGACGAAGTGCAAAGAGTGTTTCTGTATCCTCCCTCTCTTCTAGGACCCTAGGGCTCTTCCTGGGTCTTTGTGGGTGGTCACAAGCTTTCCTCTCTCAAGACAGCAGGGTTGCATGGTCTTGATAGCCTTGTGATTCGGGTTCTGAGAGATTCAGGACTGCAAGGGAGGCCTAGACTTTTGATAGCTGCAAGGACTCAGCCAGAGATGGACCGTAGTGAATGCTCCTTTTTCCTGTAGCTGAAATCAGGGAGAATGACATCAAGCCTGTGCATGATGCTGTCATTCCAAAATCTAGTGATGGGGAAGGTTAGAATCCATAACGTACAAGATGCACACTGGCTTCAGACAGTTTTATTTAAGATGTGTAGAATAAAGAGGAGGTCAGGCTGGGTAGAACCAGAAGTATCTATTGCCCTGTTCGCGGTCACCTGAGTTATTTCTAATGTTATGTTATAATAAACACCACAATAGGCTTCTCTTCATAGATGCAAATACTTTTTAGTATTCTTGGTAGAAATTCCTAATGAGCTCAGCTGTCTCTTCAGGGCTTCCCTGCCCAGTCTCTTAACATTTAAACATGTCATTTACCTTAAAAACATAAGTGCAAACCAACTGATAAAAAACAACCTTGCCTTCAGTCTGCATCCTGTCCCAGAGACACTTTCTTTGTGTCCTCACACGTGGAGCTAAGCTTCTGACTTGTCTCTGGTACATCCCTGAGGATCCTCTCATCTTGGCCATCAGGAACCTCTACAGAAGGTCAAATTCAGTGGGTTCTTCTCAGTGCCTCTGACTTGAGTTACTAATAACATTTGCACTATAATCCACTTCTTTCTGATGAACTACCCTGTCCTTATTTTTCTCCTGTTTACCTGGATCCTCCTTATCATCTTTTAAACCACCTCTTAACTATCATGTTCTCTCATTATACCCTGAGATCTCGGCAATTCTGATTTTTGGCACTCTTCCTGGAAAATCTTATTTAACCTGCACCTGCCACTAATGACTCTCAGTTCTATGGCCTAAATTCCTCTCCTGAGACCACCCATAATCCACAAATATCTATGTATTATTTCTCCTTAGATGACTTTCAGGTCTTCTAAGTGCAATAGCCCCACAGTAAACTCAGTATCTTCTCCCGGTCAGGCTGTCTTCCCTGAGAGAAGTGGCTTTTGCCCTGTTTTCTGAATGCCTACATTGAAGCCATCTGTACCCCAGGAAGCCTTCCCTGATGTGCTGTTTGGTCGCATCTTGTGTATACCTACGTATCTGCACTTATCCTTCTGAACCTGCTGTTGTCCTGTCACTTGTGTTTCCTTCTGTGACTTATACGCGTCTGCAGAACAGGACGTATGTATTATTTTTATTTGGGTATTTAGCATCTAACAGTGTTTGACATATAGTAGTCTTTTAATACATATTTTTGTCTGAATGGAAATGATATTTTGAAGAAAAATAATCTGTTCCATAGCTGGCTGATCTTTGGACTGCAGAACTTGTGAAAGTGTTTTTTAAAAAGCATTTTAAAAAGTACAAGGGACATTCATGTATTAAGAAGATGAGTTTCCAATAACTGCTAGAGGACTTTGTGTCTTTTTATTTTACCCTCTTTTTCCTGATGAGTCCTTTGAGTCCTTTAAACTGAGGAGCAAGCTAAGTTTCCTAGTGAAATACCTATAGGATTTGTTTTGTTTAGTTTCAAATACCACTCTTTGCTTGGCCACTTACTGTGTCAGGGAGTCATTCTCAGTGAAAAATAAGACACAGGTCATACCCTCTAGACACTTACAATTACAGTGGCAAGGAGTCATTCTCCTGTCACTGTAAGTGGCCAAGCACAGACTGGGTCCCCACATGTCAGGGCTGAAAACTCACAGGGAAATCTGTGAGTTGGGAGGTGAGAGCAGAAGAGTCCCGTAGTTCCTTCTCACTCTGATGCATTTATCATTCTAAACCCAGACTTTCACATACACATTCATCGTTTTCTTTCATGATAATAGTTGCTTTTATCCTCTTATCTTTGCTAATTCTTACAAACTAATAAAGACTAAGAAACAAAATAAATTAAATCCTACAGGTGTTCCAAACTCAGCAATAATTTCTAGTTGGCCTCTAAAACAAAAATCAAAATATAAATGTAAGAAAAGTTTAGAATGCTTAGTACCTGTGTGATGAAATAATCTGTACACTAAACCCCCAAGTCATGAGTTTACCTATACAACAAACCTGCACATGTACTCCTGAACATAAAATAAATGTTGAAATATTTTTAAAAAGGAAACAAAAGTTTGGAACAAATGCCAAAATAACTGTACTGTACTTTTGAATTTATATGCCCCAAATGAAAAATATTATCAACAAAGCTATACATTCTACAGTTTCATGTTCATAAACTAAGACAGAAACTTTAAAACTGTCAAGAGCCCTAAAATTTGAAGGATATTTTCTTCTTCCTCTCAATTTTGTATTTTTTTCTACCTTTTCTATAATAAGAAAAAGAAAATGTCCATTCCCCCACCCCCATGACTCTAAAAACAATTTTACATCTGTGTCATAGAAAAATTAAGATCTTAATGGGAGAGAAAACCTCTCTACTAGTTCCGCCAGTAGCCGTATGACCTTAGCAAGTTATTAATATGTAACTTCCCTGCATTTCCTTACCTGTAAAATGTATGATATGTATTTGCTTCATAGGGTTATTGTGACAATTCAGCGAGTGAAATATGTAAAGTATTTAGAAGGATGCCTGGCACAAGTAAGTGCTCAACAAATGTTAGCTGTCATTGTTACTATTACTATTGTGTAGGGTCAGGATGCCCAGACTTTCAAAGACCAGGAAGCAGCTTGACTTATCAGTGATAAACTTTTCATTTTGTTCTTTGCTCCTTTCTTTTTATAACTGCTCATCTGCTCTGTATTATTTCCTTTATGGTGTTGCTCCTTCTTCTTCCCCATATGTCCTTCCTTTGACCTCTTACCTTCTTCCTTTTTATATTCATAAGTCTTTATTCATTCTCTAGCTTTGACCACTTGCATATTCAAACTGACATTTTGTCGTGTTTTTCTCTACTGTCTTTATGCAGCGGACCATGTGTCAACTTATGCCGCGTTTGTACAGACGCATAGACCAACAGGGGAGTTTATGTTTGAATTTGATGAAGATGAGATGTTCTATGTGGATCTGGACAAGAAGGAGACCGTCTGGCATCTGGAGGAGTTTGGCCAAGCCTTTTCCTTTGAGGCTCAGGGCGGGCTGGCTAACATTGCTATATTGAACAACAACTTGAATACCTTGATCCAGCGTTCCAACCACACTCAGGCCACCAACGGTACGCCCTATCTTTGCCTCTTCCTCTGTAGCCCAACTGGAAGGGATGAGAGGGCCTCTCTGCCACCCTCAGACTAGGAAGCCTAAGTGCCCCCTGCTGTGTGATCCTCTTCCCCTAGTGGCCATGGGCTGATCCCACTACAGCAAGGGCTTGCATCCTCTCTTCTCAGGAGAGAGAAAGGTGAGCAGAGTGAGGCTGGTCAGTGGTGTGATACCCCTCTCTGTGATTCAGAGCTGCCATAAAATCTAAGGCTGAGGTAGAGGACCACCCTCCCCTAAGAGGTGGAGCCTTTGTGATTCATCCCAGAAGAGGGGCCTAACCTGGTGCTGTCTCCTTCCAGATCCCCCTGAGGTGACCGTGTTTCCCAAGGAGCCTGTGGAGCTGGGCCAGCCCAACACCCTCATCTGCCACATTGACAAGTTCTTCCCACCAGTGCTCAACGTCACGTGGCTGTGCAACGGGGAGCTGGTCACTGAGGGTGTCGCTGAGAGCCTCTTCCTGCCCAGAACAGATTACAGCTTCCACAAGTTCCATTACCTGACCTTTGTGCCCTCAGCAGAGGACTTCTATGACTGCAGGGTGGAGCACTGGGGCTTGGACCAGCCGCTCCTCAAGCACTGGGGTATGCAACTGCTTTTCTCTCCATAATCTCCTGGCATCCTCTATTCCAAAGACCTGGTGTCCTCTGCACCAGCTTTCCGCACTGGCTGGGTCTCAGTCCTCTCCTCGTCCTAACATCCAATTAACTGGTCCATAACCTTCAATTCCCACAACCATCCCAGGCCATCACCACCCTCACTGCACCTCCTGACCCTATCTCTTCATTCTTCCCCCAGAGGCCCAAGAGCCAATCCAGATGCCTGAGACAACGGAGACTGTGCTCTGTGCCCTGGGCCTGGTGCTGGGCCTAGTCGGCATCATCGTGGGCACCGTCCTCATCATAAAGTCTCTGCGTTCTGGCCATGACCCCCGGGCCCAGGGGACCCTGTGAAATACTGTAAAGGTGGGAATGTAAAGAGGAGGCCCTAGGATTTGTAGAATGTAAGGAAGGGAGGAAAAATTCAATCTGATAAGTGTTCATTGATCTTCTAATGGGTTAAAAGCATTCAGCCACATAACAACAACAACACCGATAACTAACTGAGTAGTTAATATGGTCAGGCGCTATTCTGAGGATTTACATTTATTAACTCACTTTATTCTCACACATAGTCTTTGAGGTAGGTACTATTATTTTCACTATTTCACATGAGAGATACTTACATCTTTTTACATACACAGAGACTTTAAGCACTTTGATCAAGTTCCCACAGCTATGAAGTAGTAGGGCTAGCTTCCAATCCAGAAAGTCTGGATCCAAGACTGTTTATCCACTGTCCTATTCACCCTATTTTGTGAAGGAAAAGACCAAGTTCAAATTCTCCAGAGTCCATTGCCAAATAATGGAGTCAGATCTATATTTCTATACATAATTACAACACAGTGTGGTGGGTGCCTGTAACTACTTACTGTCTCTACTTGGACTCATTCCATGGCAATGTTCACACAAAAAATGCCTCTCCAGAGATCTTACAGGTTTCTATTTATCATAACACTCACCATGCTTTATATTTTTATATGTTTTGGGAATTCTCTTAGCATTAGACAGTGAACTTCCATGCAGATGACCACATCTAATTCATTATTATTATTGTTATTCATGCTGGACCTCAGGTACAAAAGGTTAAGAACTTCTCAGTTCATTATATGATCATCATTGGTGCCTCCGAGCTCTCTCTCTCTCCCTTGATTTATTTGGTCCCTTTTATCTCCAGTCCTTACTCCCATATCTAACCTCTTACCCCTACCTCATAGGTAAACATTTTAATGAATTTGATGTTTCCTTTTATTTGCATAGATCCTCTGTAATATGTAGTAGTGTCCAGTGTACATGTATTTTTAATTAACCAAAATGGCATTAAATTATAGATCTAATTTTGTACATCCAGTTTGTTTCTTCCAAATCTTCCATAGTATTTTACTTTATATGTCCATGCATTAGTCCATTTTGCATTGCTATAAAGGAATATCTGAAGTTACCTAATTTACGAAGAAAAGAGCTTTAAATGGCTCACAGATCTGCAGGCTGTACGCGAAACATGGCACTAGCATCTGCTTCTGTTGGGGGATTCTGGAAGCTTTTACTCATGGTGGAAGGCAAGTGGAGCCAGTGCATCACATGGTCATAGAGGGAGAAAGAGACATAGAAAGAGGTGCCAGCCTCTTTTTAACAACCAGGTTTCATGTGCACTAATAGAGTGAGAACTCACTCATTACCCGGAGAGGGGACAAAGCCATTCATGAGGGTCTCCTCCATGATTCAAATACCTCCCACCAGGCCCCACCTGCAACACTGGGGATCAATTTTCAACATGAGACTTGGAAGTGACAAATATCCAAATCATATTAATCCACATATCTACATTGCTCCTGGGATACCTGGATCATTCCTGGTTCTCTACTATTGCAAGCAATGCTTGTATCTCACATGGAACTGCATATACATGTGGGCCTGACCTGCATCCCTGGAATGTATGTATCCTAGAAAGGGGTTGCAGGGTTGTTGGAGATGCAGCTCCTTAATTTGACTAAACACTGCTCATCTTCTCATCAGAATGGCTGTACTCATCTGAACTTCCTTTGTCAGTACTCTAATTGTCCTGCAACTCCTAAATGGACTTCAACACTGGACATTATCCAGTTTTCTAACTTTTGCCAATTTCATGTGCATAAAGAAATATGCTGTTTTATTTTGCATTTCTTTAATTACTAATAATTGGGGCTATAATTAGGACTGATTAGCCACTTGGGGGTTCCTTTTCTATAAATTGCCTGTTCACATTCATTGTCCATTTTTGTACTATGTGCTTCCATCATTTTCTTATTGATTTGCAGGTGATCCTTATATAGTCCTGCTAGTAGTCCCTTGTCAGTTTTAGGCATTGCAAATGTTTTCCTCTAATCTGACTTCTGGCAACTGTCTCCTTGGTTTCCTTTATTGAAGAGAAATCCTTAATATTTTGTAATGAAGTCCATCAACTGTATTTTTGTTTGTGTGTCTTTTTTAAAAGAAGTCTTCCCTATACTGAGATATCAAAGATACTCTTAAAACATCTCCTACAGTTTTAAATTTCACATTTACTACTTTAATTCATCTGGGATTCATCTTTGTGTTTGATGGGGATCATGTTTTATTTTTCTTTATATAATGGGCCAGTGTGTTCCCACAACTACTAAATAGTTCACCTTTTCCCCATAGGTTAGTAGTGTCTCCTTTGCTATACTGAAAGCTCCCATTATAGGTGGGCCTGTGTCTGAGTTCCATCTTGTTCCACTGTTCTGTTTGTCTCTTCTTGTGCCAGTGTCCTAGTATTTTGATTACTATGACATTGTAGTGTGTGTTAGTATCCAGTAGGACAAATTCTTGTTTATTTTTCTTAGTTCACACACATTTATAATTATATCTATAATGATTTGTAACAGAGTGAAGTGAATGTAGAATGTCAGATGTTAAGAGGAAGAATGGAAAAGAGGGCTGGGACTAGGGTGATGTAGGGGATGCACTTGGCTTAGGTGCAAAATTTGGGGGATACCAAAAGAACTCAGTAATAAATCATATTTTAATGAAATATCTTGAAAAGGCAAAATTAATGCAAAGATACATGATTAACAAAACATCCAAAGAGGAGTATTTAACAAAAATGGAGAAGCAGAGAAGCAGAAGAATTAGGAGAATATGCTGTCACATGAGCCAAGGAATTAAAGAATTCAGGAAGGAGGAAGTACTGCTGTCAGATGTTCAACAGAGGTCATTTTAGAAAATTTACCTTGGTTTTTGAAATCCTTTCAAAGAGCAGTATACACAATGTGAGCAAGTATCCTTCGTTCATTGCCGTCATTGATATGGTTTGGATATTTGTCCCTTCCAATTCTCATTCCAGGGTTAAGCTTCTTCTCTGCCCTCAGTAATGTGGCCCTTCCCCTTGTCTGTATATTTTGGAGACATGAAGCATGTGGGATGGCCTCACAGTCAGCTGGGGTTTGAGGGTGAAATTCAATGACTTTCGTGAACTCCTTGGCTCCTATGTGCTCTTCACCTGGAGGACCAGGGCATGTGCAGGGATGACCACCTTCTCCCTGGGACCTGAACAGGGCAGAGAAATGGGAAGCTCGGGTGCAAAGGGAGTGGGGAAGATGGGTCCGGGCTTACAGTACTGAACCCAGGAATGACAATAACTGTGTGTGTTGCTGCAGGTGACAAAATATCTGAACAGAAGAGGACTTAGGAGAGATCTGAACTCCAGCTGCCCTACAAACTCCATCTCAGCTTTTCTTCTCACTTCATGTGAAAACTACTCCAGTGGCTGACTGAATTGCTGACCCTTCAAGCTCTGTCCTTATCCATTACCTCAAAGCAGTCATTCCTTAGTAAAGTTTCCAACAAATAGAAATTAATGACACTTTGGTAGCACTAATATGGAGATTATCCTTTCATTGAGCCTTTTATCCTCTGTTCTCCTTTGAAGAACCCCTCACTGTCACCTTCCCGAGAATACCCTAAGACCAATAAATACTTCAGTATTTCAGAGCGGGGAGACTCTGAGTCATTCTTACTGGAAGTCTAGGACCAGGTCACATGTGAATACTATTTCTTGAAGGTGTGGTTTCAACCTCTGTTGCCGATGTGGTTACTAAAGGTTCTGATCCCACTTGAACGGAAAGGTCTGAGGATATTGATTCAGTCCTGGGTTTTTCCCTAACTACAGGATAGGGTGGGGTAGAGAAAGGATATTTGGGGGAAATTTTACTTGGATGAAGATTTTCTTGGATGTAGTTTGAAGACTGCAGTGTTTGAAGTCTCTGAGGGAAGAGATTTGGTCTGTCTGGATCAAGATTTCAGGCAGATTAGGATTCCATTCACAGCCCCTGAGCTTCCTTCCCAAGGCTGTATTGTAATTATAGCAATATTTCATGGAGGATTTTTCTACATGATAAACTAAGAGCCAAGAAATAAAATTTTTAAAATGCCCTAATTCATTGCAATTTTTACCAGCCATAGTCACTCCATGTGGGAGAACTTAAATCATGATTACCAGAGCTTTCAAAGGTTTGAGAATAGTGATGATTATGAAGAAAAATATCTTATTTGAGCAAGGATTTTGTTTCTTTATGAGTGTTCATTAGATATTACGATGAAAAAAGCATGAAATGGTAAAAATTCAGATAAATATAAAAACATGTTCTCTAGTTTTTTTTAAGTTAAAAAAGGAATTGTTTAAAGTAAAAATTATTTGGGGGTTTATAACATACCCAGAAGTAAAATATGATGACAATGGCACAAAGAATAGAAGGGAGAAATGGAAGTATAATGTTGTAAGTTTCTTATACATGTTAAGTGGTGTGTTATTATTTGAAGGTAGAATGTATTAAGATGAATATTTTAAGCTCCTGATAACTATTGAAAAAAAAAGAGGTATAGCCAAGAGGCCAATGGAGAAGATAAAATAGAACACTAAGCATAATTAATTCAAAATAAAGAAATAAAAAAGGGAAAGTCTGGTAAGACAAAAAGAAAACAAACTGTAAGATGGTAGAGTTTAAAACAACCATACTAATAATTGAATTAAATGCACATGGCCTAAATATTCTAATGAAAAGGGAAAGATTGTCAGAATGCACAAAAAAATCTACAGGCCAACTTCATGCTCTCTACATAATGCCCTCTTTAAATATGAAGGCAAAGACAGGTAAAAAGTAAAAGAATGGGAAAATACATGTATACCGTGGAATGCTATGCAGCCATAAAAAAATGAGTTCATGTTGTTTGTGGGGACATGGATGAAGCTGGAAGCCATCCTTCACAGCAAACTAACACAGGAACAGAAAACCAAACACCACACGTTCTCACTCGTAAGTGGGAGTTCAACAATTAGAACACATGGACACAGGGAGGGGAACACCTCACACCAGGGTCTGTCAGGGCATGGGGAGCAAGGGGAGGGAGAGCATTAGGACACATACCGAATGTATGCATGGCTTAAAACCTAGATGATGGGTTGATAGATGCAGCAAACCACATGGCACATGTATAACTATGTAACAAACCTGCACATTCTGCACATGTATCCCAGAACTTAAAGTAAAAAAAAAAAAAAACGAAAATAATGCCAACCATGGAAGTATTGGTGGCTGTGTTAATATCAGAAATATAAGACTCAGAAATATTACCAAGGAGAAAGAAGGATAGTTCATAATGATAAAAGGATCATTTTATTATCAACATATAACAATCCTAAATGTGTTTGTTCTTAGAAAATATGTCTTAAATCACATTATACCAAAAATGATAAAAATAAATCAGAAATAGACAAATTCACAATTATATTTTAGTATTCTAGCACTCAGTAAACAATAAAATATTTAGGAAAAAACTTCATGAGGACATGATAGATTTAAATAACATTATCAATGAACCAACGTGATCTAATCAAGATCTGTAGAATATTCCACCCAATAGTGGCAGAATACACATTATTTTCAAATGCTCAAGAATATTCCACAGGACAGACTATACACTGGGTCATAAACACATATAAATAAATGTCTAAATAAATAAATGTCTCTATTGAAATCATACAGAATACATTCTCGGACCACAATAGCATTAAATTAGAAACCAATAACAGAAAAATACCTTGAAAGTCCCAAATACCTAGAAATTAAAAAGTATACTGCTAAACAGCACCTGGATTTAAAAAGAGTCAGAAGGAAAATTAGAAAATATTTTGAACTGAGTGAATATGAAAGCACACTATCAAAATTAGTATGATACACTAATTAGAGAATAATTTATAACTTTACATAATTGGAAAGGAGGGAAACTCTAAAATCAACCATCTATGTTCCCATCTTAAGAAGCTAGAAAAAAAAAGTCAAATGAATCCCAAGATTAATAAGATCAGAAATAAATGCAATAAAATGGACAAACAATAAAGAAAATAAACAAAGTCAATTGCTGGTTTTCAATAAGGCTCAATACATTCATGAATCTCTAGGTAGATGGATCAAGAAAAAGAGATAAGACTCAAATCCCCAATATCAGAAATGGAAGTGGGTACGTCACAACAAATCATACAGACATTAAAAGTATTATGACAGAATGCTATGAAAATGCCAATAAACAAAAATGACAATAAATTTGACAATTTACATTGTTAAATTAAATTAAATTTGGTGTAAAGCTTTCTCCATATCTTAAATTCCTACATAGCAAACTAACCCAACTTAACATAACTGCGTTATGCAAACAAACTACAGCCTAACTTAAGAGTGTTGTAATAAATAGCTGAGTCTCAGCCAATCACAGGCTGCCAAGTGATCATATTATGTCCCCCATAAGGCAAATGCCTCATCACGCCATGCCCATATAAGGCAAACACTGAGCTGTAATAAATTGGCTGGTTTTGAGTATCACTTCCTGTTTTTATCTATAAACACTGCCTTCACATGTTGCTGGACAGAGCTTTCTGAATCTTTCTGGGTTCTGAGGGCTCCCCAATTCATGAATTGTTCTTTGCTAAATAAACTCTGTTAAATTCAACTTCTCTAAAATTTTTATTTTAACAACATGAAATAGAAACATTTCTTGAACGATTCAAATTACCAAAACTAAATCAAGAAGAAATCTCTGTCAATGGAAGAAATTAAGTTTGTAATTTTAAAAATCCTTCTCACAGAGAAGGCCAAATGGTTTCCAGGTCAGATGGCTTCATTGATTAATCCATAGTATTCTGTCATAATACTGTCATAATACTTTTAATGTCTGTATGATTAATTCTATTATACATTTAAGGAAGAAACAATACAAACTCAATACAAACTCTTTCAACAAAAGAGCAGAAGAAAACACATCCCAATAATTTACAAGTCCAATATACTAACATCAAACAATGACATTAAAAGAAAAGGAAACTAAAGACACACAAACATAGCCATGAAAATGTTTAACAAAATATTTTTTAAAATTGAATTCAATAATATATTAAAAAGGATGATATAACATGATCATAAAAGTTTATGCCAGGAATGGAAGGCATGTTTAACATGCAAAAAATCAATGTGATTCCACATCTTAACAGAATACAAAAGAAAAATTATGTAATTATGTAAATGGATGCAGAAAAAGGCATTTGCTCATTCATGATAAAAAGTCCTAGAAAACTAGGAATAAAAAGGAATTACCTGATAAGGTGTGTCCATGAAAACCAACAACTGAAATTTTCAATTTTGGGTGGGGGAGGGGGGCGGGCATTTTACTTTCTCCATAAAACTATTAAATTATCTAATGTGAAAGTGGAATTCAGTGAAGAAATGTTCCCTACTGCAAAAATACAAAATGCTGGACATTCTGTGAACAGTTTCTATGCATTCTATATAAATGAAACTATTAACTATATAATACATTTATTGAAAAAAGAAGATGGCCTTCTTTTTTTTTCCTAATGGCTGTTGAATTTATTTGCTTGATCAATAATGGTCCTGGCAAAAATTGACCAATGCTGAGACATTTGTAATGAAATACTAATTTTAAAAGTCCATGACACCTTGATAGAAATTAGAGTTTACACAAACAAAAAAGGAACCTTCGATATTTCCAGCAGCTATAAGGTGAATGTACTGAGACCGACAGGACAGCAAGAAGGCATTTGCACATTTATATCTGACACCAGACCACACTTTCAGCCACCAGAATATCTTCTCTCCATATTTTAAAAAATAGTGTCTCTCCCTCTCCCTCTCCCCACGGTCTCCCTCTCCCTCTCCCTCTCCCTCTCCCCACGGTCTCCCTCTCCCTCTCTTTCCACAGTCTCCCTCTGATGCCGAGCCGAAGCTGGACGATACTGCTGCCATCACGGCTCACTGCAACCTCCCTGCCTGATTCTCCTGCCTCAGCTTGCCGAGTGCCTGCGATTGCAGGCGCGCGCCGCCACACCTGACTGGTTTTCGTATTTTTTTGGTGGAGATGGGGATTCGCTGTATTGGCTGGGCTGGTCTCCAGCTCCTAACCGAGAGTGATCCGCCAGCCTCGGCCTCCCGAGGTGCCGGGATTGCAGACAGAGTCTCGTTCACTCAGTGCTCAATGGTGCCCAGGCTGGAGTGCAGTGGCGTGATCTCGGCTCGCTACAACCTCCACCTCCCAGCAGCCTGCCTTGGCCTCCCAAAGTGCCGAGACTGCAGCCTCTGCCCGGCCGCCACCCCGTCTGGGAAGTGAAGAGCGTCTCCGCCTGGCCGCCCATCGTCTGGGATGTGAGGAGCCCCTCTGCCTGGCTGCCCAGTCTGGAAAGTGAGGAGCGTCTCTGCCCGGCCGCCATCCCATCTAGGAAGTGAGGAGCGCCTCTTCCCGGCCGCCATCACATCTGGGAAGTGAGGAGCGTCTCTGCCTGGCCGCCCATCGTCTGAGATGTGGGGAGCACCTCTGCCCTGCCGCCCCGTCCGGGATGTGAGGAGCGTCTCTGCCCGGCCGCCCCGTCTGAGAAGTGAGGAGACCCTCTGCCTGGCAACCGCCCCGTCTGAGAAGTGAGGAACCCCTCCGCCCAGCAGCCACCCTGTCTGGGAATTGAGGAGCGTCTCCGCCCGGCAGTCACCTCCTCCGGGAGGGAGGTGGGGGGGTCAGCCCCCCGCCCGGCCAGCCGCCCCGTCCGGCAGGTGAGGGGCGCCTCTGCCCGGCCGCCCCTACTGGGAAGTGAGGAGCCCCTCTGCCCGGCCAGCCGCCCCATCCGGGAGGGAGGTGGGGGAGTCAGTCCCCTGCCCGGCCAGCCGCCCCATCCGGGAGGGAGGTGGGGGGGTCAGCCCCCCGCCCGGCCAGCCACCCCATCCGGGAAGTGAGGGGCGCCTCTGCCCGGCCGCCCCTACTGGGAAGTGAAGAGCCCCTCTGCCCAGCCAGCCGCCCCGTCCGGGAGGGAGGTGGGGGGGTCAGCCCCCTGCCCTGCCAGCCGCCCCGTCCGGGAGGGAGGTGGGGGGGTCAGCCCCCCGCCCGGCCAGCCACCCCATCCGGGAAGTGAGGGGCGCCTCTGCCCGGCCGCGCCTACTGGGAAGTGAGGAGCCCCTCTGCCCCGCCACCACCCCGTCTGGGAGGTGTACCCAACAGCTCATTGAGAACGGGCCGTGATGACAATGGCGGTTTTGTAGAATAGAAACGGGGGAAAGGTGGGGAAAAGATTGAGAAATCGGATGGTTGCCGTGTCTGTGTAGAAAGAGGTAGACATGGGAGACTTTTCATTTTGTTCTGTACTAAGAAAAATTCTTCTGCCTTGGGATCCTGTTGATCGGTGACCTTACCCCCAACCCTGTGCTCTCTGAAACATGTGCTGTATCCACTCAGGGTTGAATGGATTAAGGGTGGTGCAAGATGTGCTTTGTTAAACAGATGCTTGAAGGCAGCATGCTCCTTAAGAGTCATCACCACTCCCTAATCTCAAGTACCCAGGGACACAAACACTGCGGAAGGCCGCAGGGTCCTCTGCCTAGGAAAACCAGAGACCTTTGTTCACTTGTTTATCTGCTGACCTTCCCTCCACTATTGTCCTGTGACCCTGCCAAATCCCCCTCTGCGAGAAACACCCAAGAATGATCAATAAAATAATAATAATAAAAAAAAAATAGTATGCTGATTTCTACAACAAAGATTTTTTTCATACAAAAATCAAATCATGGCCAGAAGATATCCTTCTTAAACTGGATGCCAGATGAGCATGCTGAACACAAAGCATGGTTTGTAGAGAAGAGATGTTTCTAACAAAAAAATTAAGGACAGAGTTTGAGGTAATGACGGAACATCCAGACGGATGTGCCCAGTACATATACTGAGATGAAGCCAGAGACTATACACTAATGGGTTTTTCTGTGGCATCATGATTGATGCCATGAGGGTGACTGAGATCTGCAGGAGAATGAGTGTAGAGAGATGAGCAAAGGGCTGAAGATTATGCCTTAAGTATGTCTCCATTTAAAAATGGGAAATGGAGGAGCAGTGCACAAAGGAGTATGCATTATTTCCTGCCTCAGCGTTTTGGGGTAAATAGGGTAAGGAAGAGAGGGCTATGGGAAGAGAATGACCTGTCTCTCCATCTCACTTATAACTATCTGGTTGACCACCAACTGGATAAGACCAAATAGTTTGATATACCTGTCAAGGGACTTAATATAACATTAGCCTGCATTAATATCAGCAATATTTCTGTAATAAGGAAGGTGATAGATCTCCTATTCCCTGCTTGAACTTTACTTGAAGCTCTGTACACTCAGACATAGATTTTTAAGAAAAATCTGTACCACCTGGACAGAGGTATAAAGGAAAATGGAAAACAGGAGTAAAATAGTTCAAAGGGTTGTGATTTTGGAGCCATTAAAGAATCTGGTCAAGTTTGGTTTGGTGAAGTGAAAAAAGCAGAACCAGGATTGGTTTAAGAATCTCTGACTCCAAATAACTATACCTCAACTATGGAGGTCCTAGGAGGTCAGGCAGGGGTGTGTTGCTTTATTTATGAGAAAAGTGTACGCACGTATCTCTAAATATGTAAGGTACATGATGATTCCTTTTTTATTGTCTTGAGTAGGATGATCTGCTCCTAGCAGCGTGCAGATGGGGCTTATGTAAGCCCTAAGCACTCGTGTATGACAGAGGAAGAAAAGGTTCTTCCTTAGGATGAGAGAACTTCAAACAAGATTACTCCAGCCCATCCTCCCATTTGCTCTCTCTTTCTGTTTTCAGCTCACATAGAAAAGCCCTTTTTGGTATTTAAGCTCAATTGCTCTTATTGTGGGACAGTGGAGGCTGTGTATTACACCCATAAAAACTATTTGTCTCTATTTCCTCTCTGAAAAGGTAGCATTGCAACACTTCCCTCTCTGCTTTCCCTTCTCTCTCTTAGCCAGGGGCCCCATTGCTCAGGGTTAGAATACACAGTCAACTAAAAAAATCTGTCCCATAAAGGGACTGTTGAACACTCAACTGTCTGTTTGATGGTTGAAGCTAAGCTCTAAGAGTGAGAGTAAAATGCCGATGGAGAAGGTTTGGAGAAAGCTGTGATGACAAGAATTATCACTTCTGCTTAATGACTTTCCCTCCAGCCAATGAGATTTGAGTGTGAAGCATCCTCACTTGTGACCAGGTAATAAAGGTACTGAGATTGTCCTGAGTGAGTTGCAGAGAAGGGAGAGGTATGGCATGCTATCAAGAGAACAGTTCTGTTTCATAGTGGGAAAATGTATCAGAGTGTCACGTGGACATAGAAGTGAGAGAACTGAGGGTTGAAGTGGGTTCTTGGGAAGGTTACATCTTCTGCTGTTGAGAAAATCTGAAGTGTATGCCAACTAGGGTTAGAATTGCTGCCTCACAGGAAGTAGCACTCTGTGCAGCCACCAATTAAAGCTGCCCTGCCTGGATCCTTTTAGTATTTTGGGATTGATAAATAGATATGAATAACAAATGGGCAAACCCAGGCAAGGTAAAACTAAGGAGAAAACATAGAAATAGTGCACAGAAACGAGTTAGAGAAGAATAAAACAGAATATAAGTACAAGTCTCCTTACCTGTTGGCACATGGGAATAGTTTTGGTGTATGCTAAAATAGTTTTTCCTTGGAGCTTCAGGTTGTAAATTGCTAAGGAAAACCTGCTTGGTGCTGGAGTCCGGAGTCTTTACTTTTCTTCTAGTTACAGCTCTCAGAGGCCTGTTCAGGTTCTCAGAAGCATAGTACCCATTAGCTACTTTGTTAGATCCACTGTGAAATTTGGCTTCCATATCCGGTTTTACAATTCAATGTTGGATCAAAAAGACTGGTTGGCCTCCTAGAAGCCTTTCTAAATTCTACTGAGCTGGAAACGGTTAGAGAAAGAGCTGTCTACTCTCTGAGGAGCACTTCTGAGTTACTTCTACTTCACAGGTTCTAACACAAAAGGTGTTAACCCTAGAGGATTAGAACCTAATCAGTTATGGCAAACAGAAGTTACATCCCTGAATTTGGAAAACTAAGATATGTACATGTATCCATTGATACCAACACTCATCTAATAAGTGCACACGCTCTTCTGTTGACTGAAGTGTACAGATGTGTGCAGCAACACGTCTGTCAGGCAAGGCAGTCATCGCTTTCATTCTGGCTTTGCATCCTAGAATTAGCAAATAACATAAGACAATCATGAGAATAATTAGCAACATTCTTTTCCAGTCAAAGAGTGAACCCCAGGAGCGGGGGTCTAACCAGGAGTGATGATCTTGCACACCCTTCCATATGGCTGTTTGTTGGGTGTGTAGATCTATAGTGGGAAGGGATTCTAAAATTTTAGTTTGAAGTTGCTTTACATCTGCTATTAAATTGTCATGAATTGTTCCCCAGAGGTGTTGTTTCACTTCATCCCAACTATGTATTGATTGACTCTATGATAGAGAAGTGACACAGATATGTTTATGCGCCCAGTCGCAGTTTAATTGCTGTTAGAATGCCAGTGCATCTTGTTACTCCCCCATATATTCCAGGGCAGCCTCAAGGACCTCAAGGGCTTGCAGACGTGCAAGAATCTTTTGCTCTAGACCCTGCTGTAAGAGAAGTTCATTAGACACGTTTCTGGCCAAATTATCTACAAAAGCACCTATTTGTAGTGATTCAGTAATAGCTGCTACAGCCACACTAGCAGTTGCTAGGATGACTGTGGCTGAGACTATAAAGGCTGTAAGTGTGCCTATGTATCTTTTGGGTCTGGCCTAGGACAGGGCACATTCTTAGGTGGCAAGGGCAGAGGAACTTTGCCAATCGCATGTCAAATTGACTGGGTAGGAATGCCTCAGATTGTCTCCTTAATACCATGACACTAGTAATATTTAAATTAGATGTATTATAATTAGTGATACATGAGGCAAACCAAGCCTGTTTCTGCACCTGGGTCACAAATGAGGAGTTTTGGGGTGTAATGGAAATATCAGTTCCCATAAGGAAAATATATGTATGGGTAGTGTAAATTAGGCACTGATCAGTGTGATTATGAATAAAGGTTATAGTGTATTTGCCACTGGAATTATGATATGTCCATGCCAGGTGAAAAGGAGGTGCTAAGATGTCTCAGGTACCATAAAATGTCTTGGGTAGCATGGACTTTACTTGGGGTATGGGATAACCCATCCCCCCTATTGGCCCAAATCATAGGGGAACGTGATGAGGCTACGAAACTGTGATTGACACCATGATGGATGAGGACATCAGTAAGGATGCCCTGAAAATGGCCGTGGGGGCTCCAGTCTAAGGTATTATAATGGCCTAGCTGAAGGCTACAAGCTTATTCCCCGTGACAGACCTCCCAGCTAAAGTGGAATCCATTACTTTCCCAGCTTTGTTCTTTAGCACAGGAAGGAATGTTTGGGAAAGAGTCATTGATTGCATTACCTGATTTGAAGCTACCTGCAGCTAAGACTTTAAAGGCATTTCTTTTGCCATGATGTAGCCATAATTGTGTTTGGGCAGGTACACAGTAAGGGTTATAATCTTTATAACTTACACACAGTGGGAGGATAGTGGAGTGATATGCAGTGTTTCTGGCACCTTAGTCCAATGTGTGCCATTATCGAGGGACCCCACTGGGGGTAAATCTATCCCTCCTAGCCAAGCAGTTATGTTATTAAAAGTTGGGAAGGGAGTGTCTGCCTAGGTGACAGGGTGAAAGAAAGGCGGATCTAAGATATGAGCCCAATAGAGTGTAGCAGGAACAGGTTGCAGACAAAGCACGAGCATAAAAAGGATCAATACCCTACATGAGTTGCAATGTACAACAGAAATCATAGCAAGGAGCAAATTATCTGGAGTGAATGGTGTTTGTGTCCAGAGCAGGGTTCATTCAGCCTCCCGAGTTGTCCTCTTCAGCATTCCCCAGTAATGTCTAGGGTTTGTGTCATCCACGGAAGCTGCATCATCCGGGACCGTGGGTCCTGCAGGGTTAGTTCCTTCATTTCTGGTACCGGGTTGGGTCCTAGCCATGTCATGGTATGGTTTGATGCATCGTGCTGGAATCCAAAGAGGACTTGAGAGGGTGTGGACACAAGCATACCCTCTTCTCCAAGTTAACAATTCATTTGGACCACACCATACATTACTGCTTACATCTTTCCATAAAACTGCAGGTTTTATGTCTTGAGAGGTTTTAGCAAAAAGTGTTTCTCTATAGTTGATTGAAATTTGTCATCTACATTTTAAAAATTAAGGGTAAATAAGGCTTGTGCCAATAGTGTTGCAGGGTCTTTACCCATACTCCCCCTTTTCTGTTTTTTGAGCGTATTTTTAAGGCTGGAGTGGGCACGTTCTACTATGGCCTGTCCTTGGGGGTTATACGGGATGCCTATGGAACGTTGGATATTCCACGTGTGACAAAATTGTTGAAATTGTGAGCTGGCATAAACTGGACCATTATCAGTTTTAATTTTTATGGGCCGCCCCATACATGCAAAAGTTGAAAGAAGATGTTTAATGACATATTGAGTGGACTCTCCAAGGAAGAGCGTGTGCACTAATTAGATGAGTGTTAGTATCAATGGATACATGTACATATCTTAGTTTTCCAAATTCAGGGATGTAACTTCTGTTTGCCATAACTGATTAGGTTCTAATCCTCTAGGGTTAACAGCTTTTGAAGGAGGAGACATGCCTGTTAGCTGGCAATTTGAGAATTGTGGGATAATTTGTTTAGCCAGTCTCTGGGTAAGTTGAAATTGCTTAGATAAGTTTCTCCAATTTTGGTGGAAAAATTGATGCGATTGGGTGGCTTGATCAAGCAGTGATGTCATCACCTGAAGGTCTGCTTGATCATTGCCATAAGCCAATGGGCCAGGCAGAGAGCTGTGGGCTCGAATGTGTGTAATAAAAGTAGGATGTGTACATTGATTTAGCAATTGCTGAAATCAGAGAAAAAGAGCACACAGGGCGGGCTCCAGAGTGGACTTAATTACGGCTGCTTCAAGATTTTGCGATAAATAAATAAAGTAGGCAGAATCACTAACTATATTGATGGCTGAGTAGAAAAAGTTTCCAAGGCCAATATCAGGGCCCCGATCTCACCTCTCTGAATGCTAGTAAACCCAGATCGAGTGAGTGAATTATGTGGTCTCCACCAGACTGCTGCCTTTCCATGTTTGCCTGAATCATCAGTAAACAATGTTAAAGCATTAGGTATGGAGGAATGAACTATTTTTGTAGGCAAGATCACAGGAGTATGAGATAAGAAATGAAGGAATTTATCAGCAGGAAGAACATGCTCTATTTGTCCTGTGTAATCAGAGAGAGCTATTTGCAGATCTAACAATAGGGACAAAACTGCTTCTAATTGCTTTTTACTTAAAGGAATCCTGATGATTTCAGGATATCAGGATCATAGCCTAGCAACTGACTGCATTGTTTGAGGCCTGAATATATGACTTTACTAATTAACTGAATATAGGGAAAGAGTGTTTTAGTCCTGGTATGTGAGCAAAAAAAAATCCATTCTAGAAAGTGCAGTCTTGGGGTCATCTGTCCTATTAATCCTGAAGGGGAGTGTTTGGTGGGGAAAATAAACAACTGGATGGAATAATGGGTGTCTATGTGATCTAGTTGCCTCTGAGAGATGGCTTGTTCTATTTCCTCAATTTCCCTTTTTGCTGCAGGGGTTAAATATCTGGGAGAATTCAGGGCTATATTGCCCTTTAAGATAGAAAACAGGTTTTGCAGCTTATAAGTAGGAATGCCTAAAGTGGGGCAGAGCCAGTTGATATCACCTAGTAATTTCTGATAATCATTTAAGGAATGTAAGTTGCTAGTATTTAATTTAACATTTTGAGGTCTTACTGACCAGGAAGTTAGCATGTACCCAAGATATATTTCCAAGGAGAGAAAGTTGTACTTTTTCAGGTGCAATGATTAAACCTCTTAGCTGTTTATTCTTTATGACAGAGGTATATAAATTTAAAAGTATTGGCTCTGTTGGGGTTGCTGGTAAAATATTCATAAAACAAATAATCTTGCAATTAGGAAATTCTTTTCTACTGGGAGCAAAGCTTGATTTACATGATACTGACAGTTGGTAGGACTGTTTAGCATCCCTTGAGGAAGCACATTCCAATGAAATCAACAAGCTGGCCTTTCATTATTGATAGCTGGTATTGTAAATGCAAATTTTTCTCTGTCCTGTTCTGCTAGGGGAATCATATAAAAGCAGTCCTTTAAGTCAATAATGATTATAGGCCAATCTCGAGGAATCGCCACAGGGGATGGGAGGCCCTGTTGAAGGGGTCCCATAGGTTGCAAATTAGCATTAACAGCACATAGGTCATGCAAAATCTCCATTTCCCAGACTTTTTGGGAATGATGAAAATGGGCAAATTCCAAGGACTAATAGATGGTTCTACATGCCCAGCTTTTAATTGCTCTTCAACTAATTCACAGGCTTTTTGTAATTTCTCTCCCTTCAGAGGCCACTGTTCTACTCAAATTGGATCTTGAGAGAGCTACGACGGGGGTAGGGGAGGAATAATAACAGTGGCCATTGTTATAAAGGGGGCTGAGAGTCACCCCTCCCGCATTGGGCTAATAAATCCTGTCCCCAAAGATTAACAGGGATGCGCATGCTTACGGGTTGTATAACTGCCTTTCTTCCTTCTGAATTGCAACAGGTTAGGGAGTGCATGCTCTGCTTGGCTCTGTGTGCTTCCCTGATGCAGACAATTTTTTATTTCTGAGTGACCCAAGGCCAAATTTCTAGCCAGTTTTGATCACTAATGATTGAAACGTCCACCCCTGTGTCCAATAAGCCAGTAAAATTATTATTTCCAATTTTTAAGATAATCATGGGTCTCTGATCAGTGATTAATTGATTCCCATATACTCCTGTGGCTCCTGTGCTCCCAAAACTTCCTTTCCCCTTTCCTTTCCGTGGGCACTGGGGACCCAGTATGGCAAAATCAGTAACTGAGCTATCTTTGATCCAGGGGGAAGAATATTCAGACCTTTACATTCCATCATAACCAATATCTCACCTTGGTAATCACTACCAATTACCCCAGTGAGCACATTAATTCCTTTACTGGACAGGCTAGACCGCCCTAGGACTAATCCCACTGCTTCTGGAGGCAGCTGGCCCCAGATCCCGTATGCAGCCCTTTTAGGGTCTTCTCCTTCTTTCAGCACTGATTTGTTGGGGCAGAGTAAGTCCAGTCCTGCACTCCCAGTGGTGGCTGCTCTGAGAGAGAGGACTGTGAGCTCTCCATCAGACCGAGGAAAGCTGCTGGGATTGCCCCAGTTTGAAGCAGGGCCTAGGGCCAGCCCGTCATGAAGTTTCCCACCTGGTTACTTATGGGGTTTCTGTTTTTATCAAATTTTGACCTGCATTGATTTGCCCAATGTTTCACCGTTTTACATCCGGGGCATATAGAAGGGGGTTCTTTCCCTGAGTTACCTTCGTCTCTATTATGGGGGCATTCCCTCTTCATATGATCTGGCTCTCCACATAGAAAACAACTTTGGCTTCTCTCCCTTTTCACTTTAGGAGGCCTTAATGCCATAACCAATATTTTGGCTTGTGTGTCTCAGTTCCCACCAGCTGACATGCTCATATAAGTTCCCCGACTGTGGCTGCCTTTCCTCTGATTGCCTGCATTGCCTGCTGGTGATCCACATGAGAGTTTTCAAAAGCCAATTGCAACAATAAGATATCAGCAGCCTGGGCGTGACTAATTTGTCTCTTAATTGCCTGGGTTAACCAATTGAAAAACTCAACAAATGGCTCCTGAGGCCCTTGTTGAACATTTATAAAAGATCCCTGCTAAACTCCACTTTCAGGAATTCAGTCCCAAGCCCTGAGAGCACACAAAGACACTTGATTTTAGGCCTGGGGAATCAAAATCTAGTTGTTGTACATAGGCATGGGGATCCTTCCCCTGGAGCATAGCAGCTGTTAGGTCTTGCCCGGTCACCTGATTCTGGTTAGCTTGTTGTTCACACAGCTCATCATATTCTGCCTTCCAGAGGAGGTATTGGCTAGGCTCCAAAGTTGTTTTAGTTAGCATTGCCCAGTCCCATGGGGTCATAGAAAAGTGGTCTGCCAAGGCCTCAATCATTCCTTTCATAAATGGGCTAGCAGCTCTGTTTTCTTTAATGCTTTTTCTTAGCTCCTTATAAGCATTAAAAGAAATGGGTTCATGTACCTGATTGCCTTGTCGGTCTTGCATTACCAGGCAGGCTAAGAGCTCCCCTTCTAATGCCACTTGCTTAAGACAAGGTCCCACAGCTGGAGCATGTCTCCTGTCTTTTTTCCTATCTATTGGAGGAGGGGGCTCAGGCAAAACCTCCATTTCCTCTTTGTTATTTTGGCCTGGTGATATCAGGGCTGAGGAACTTGCGGGTGGTAAAATACATGATGGTGCCTTGTCCTTCCCCTTTTTAGGCTCTTCTGTGTATAATGGGACCAAAGCCGCCCTTACTAAGGCCCATAGCATTAAAGATGATACTGGGACCCGTTACCCTTGAACATGATGTTGCTTAAGATTTTTTCCCACTCGTTCCCAGAGCTCTAGGTCTAGCATGCCTTCTTGGGGGAACCATGGGTTATGGGATACAACAGTTTGCATTAGGTTCCTTAATTAAACCTGTGAAACTGAGGCTCTGCTAGCTTTAAGCAGCCATTTCAATACTTTTATATACTGTTTCTGTTGAGCTGATAACTGTTGTCCCATGATGAAACCTTAGCCTGAACAATCCCCCGCCCCGAACTTGGAAATCCCAAGCAAGTACCAATGACTTACTGATTACTCACTGACTGCGCAGTTCCTTTTTCACCTTCATTTTCAGGGGGTTCATCAATCTCCCCTTGCAGCATTCCTCACGCGGGGCACCAGCTGTGGTAGTCTGACCTACAGACCCTGACCCAGTAATGGATGAGAGGTGTACACTGACACAGATATCTTGCTTGTCAGTTCAGCTGAGGGTCCAGGCCACACACAGACACCAAGGAAGGTGCTGTAAAGAGTTGCATCTATGGCCCTGATCAACCAGCAAAGCTCGCATTTGTTCACACCACTAGAGGGCAATTGACCTGTTTGCCGACCCCCCCAAGTAGAGAGCAATTATGCATCTGCAGTTGAACAAATGTTGGTCTTACGACCACATGAGTAAACAAGCTATTTAGATAAATGTTCCTTTGTATCTGTGCCCCAAGCAATTAACTCAAGGTAAGGATTACGCTGCTTTCAGCCATAACCCTATCTTGAGACTTTTGCAAATACCTTCCGGCCTTCCAAGAAGGTTTGTGTCTATATCCTATAATTTTACAATTTCTCCCACCATCCTGACTGAACCCCCACACTAGACTAACCAAGAAAAGAAAAGAGAATACCCAAGTAAACCATATCATAAATGAAAAAGAAGCTATTACAACAGATCCCACATAAATACAAAAGATAATCAGAAACCATTATGAACAAATATATGGTAACAAACTGGAGAAACAAGAGGAAATGGATAAATTTCTGGAAACATACAACTTACCAAGATTGAATCAGGAAGAAAGAAAATCTGGACAGACTAATACTGAGTACTGAAATGGAATCAGTAATAAAAAATCTCCCAAAAAAGAAAAATCCAAGAGCATATAGTTTCACTGATGAATTCCACCAAACTTTCAGAGAACCACCACCGATTTTCCTCCAACTGGTCCAAAAAGTTGAAGAAGAGGGAATTCTCCCAAACTCATTCTGTGAGGCTAGCATTACCCTAATGGCAAACCCAGACAAGGATGCTCCAAGAAAGAAAACTACAGGTGAATATCCTGATACATACAGATGGAAAAATACTTACCAAAATAGGAGCAAACCGAATCCAACAGTAGATCAAAACAATAATATAATGTGATCAAGTAGGATTTACAGCAAGGATGCAAGGATATTTCAACATACACAAATCAATGAATGTGATACATCACATCAACATGATGAAGGCCAAAATCCATATGACTATCTCAATAAATGCAGAAGAAGCATTTGATAAAATTCAACACCTTTTCGTAATAAAAACTCTCAACAAACTAGGCATAAAAGGATCATGCCTTAATATAATAAAGGCTCTATGTGACAAAACCCACAGCTAACATCATACAGAATGGTGAAAAGTTGAAAGCTTTTTCTTTAGGAACTGGGAAAAGACAAGTATACACATGTTCACCCCTCCTACTCAACATAGTACTATTCTATCTATCCAAGGGGGGCTGCACATCAGCCCTGTCTCCTATCTGCCATCTTCCTGGCAAGAGCTCATAAAGCAAGTTCCAAAATAATCTTATAGTTAGAAAAACCAAACACTCCACCAGAACACTCTTAGAACTGATAAGCCAATTCAGTAGACTTGGCAGGATACAAAATTAATATGCAGAAATAAGTAGCATTTCTATTCACCAACAATGAAATAGCTGAAAAAGAAATGAAGAAGAGAATTCCATTTATGATAGCTACAAAAAATATGATAAAATACTTGGAATAAATTTTACCAAAGAGATGAAAGATCCCTACAAGGCAAACTACAAAACACTGATGAAAGAAATTGAAGTGGACACAAACAAATGGAAAGAAATTCCATGCTAATGGATCAGAAGAATTAATATCATTAAAATGACCATATGGCCCAAAGCAATCTACAGATTTAATGTGATCCCTATCAAGATACCAATGTCACTTTCCACAAAAATATAAAAAACAATCCTAAAATTTGTATAGAACCATAAAAGATCCTGAATAGGCAAAGCCATCCTGAGCAAAAAGAACAAAGCTGGAAGTATCACAATACCTGAGTTCAAAACATTTTACAAGGCTGTAGTAACCAAAAGAGTAGAGTACTGGTATAAAAAACAGACACATAGACCAATAGAATACAACAGAATAGGGGACAGAATCATGGTGGATGGGAGGCATTATACATTGCCCCTCCAACTTGGATGGACAGAGCAGCTTGTGGAGTCTTGCATCATGAACTTTTGCTCCAGACCTATTGCAGGAATGACTGGGAAAGCTGAGAGAACCCACAGACCCTCTGAAGGGAGCAGATTGCTCCTGCAGGACCTGGGAGACATCCCAAATACTGTGAGTGCCCAAACTGTGGAGGTGGGAAAGGGGGATCTTCCACCCTTGAATGCATACCTCACTGGGGAACCTGAAGGTGTAGATCATGGGAGAAGATTCTGACCTGAACTGGAGCTGAGTCCATTTAGAAGCTGAGGGAAACACAGGGGTAGAGGAAGCAGCGGAAGGGACTTGTTTTGGGCACTAACATTTGGCTCTTTGTTACTTATGCAAATTTCTGCAGCTGGCTTGAATTTCTCCTCAGAAAATGGGATTTTATTTTCTATCGCATTGTCAGGCTGCAAATTTTTCAAACTTTTATGCTGTTTCCCTTTTAAAACTGAATGCTTTTAACAGCACTCCAGTCACCTCTTGAATGCTTTGCTGCTTAGAAATTTCTTCTGCCAGATACCCTAAATCATCTCTCTCAAGTTCAAAGTCCCACAAATCTCTAGGGCAGGGGCAAAATGCCACCAGTGTCTTTGCTAAAACATAACAAGAGTCACCTTTGCTTCAGTTCCCAACAAGTTCCTCATCTCCATCTGAAACCATCTCAGCCTGGATTTCATTGTCCATATCATTATTCAACAAGTCTCTAGAAAGTTCCACATTTTCCCACATTTTCCTGTCTTCTTCTGAGCCCTCCAAACTCTTGCAACCTCTGCCTGTTACCTAGTTCCAAAGTCACTTCCACATTTTTGGGTATCTTTTCTGTGGTGCCCCACTCTACCGGTACCAATTTACTGTATTATTCTGTTTTCACACTGCCGATAAAGACATAACTGAGACTGGGCAATTTACAAAAGATAAAGGTTTAATTGGACTTACAGTTCCACATGGCTGGGGAAGCCTGACAATCATGGTGGAAGGCAAGGAGGAGCAAGTCTCATCTTCCTTGGATGGTGGCAGGCAAAGAGAGAGCTTGTGAGGGCAACTCCGTTTTCAGAACTATCAGATCAACTGAGACCCATTCACTGTCACAAGAACAGCACTGGAAAGACCCACCCCCATAATTCAGTAATCTCCCACAGGGTGCCTCCCACAACACGTGGGAATTATGGGAGCTACAAGGTGAGGTTTGGGTGGGGACACAGATCCAAACCATATCACTGTAGAACAAATGGACTTAACAGATATTTACAGAACATTCTACTCAACAACAGCAGAATATACATTATTTTCATCAGCATGTGGAACATCCTCCAAGACAGACGTTATGGTAGGCCACAAAACAAGTCTCAATAAGTTTAAGAAAATCAAAATTATATGATGTACCCTCTCAGACTACAGTGGAATAAAACTGGAAATTGAATCCAAAATGAATTCTCAGAACTATACAAATACATGGAAATTAAATAATCTGCTCCCGAATGATCTTTAGGTCAACAATGAAATCAAGATGGAAATTTTAAAAATCTTTGAACTGAACCATAATAGTGACACAATTTATCAGAAACTCTAGGAAGGCCGGGCACGGTGGCTCACACCTGTAATCCTGGCACTTTGGGAGGCCGAGGTGGGTGGATTACCTGAGGTCGGGAGTTCGAGACCAGCCTGGCCAACATGATGAAACCCCATCTCTACTAAAAATACAAAAATCAGCCGGGTGTGGTGGTGTGTGCCTATAATCCCAGCTACTCGGGAGGCTGAGGCAGGAGAATTGCTTGAACCCAGGAGGTGGTGGTTGCAGTGAGCCAAGATTGTGCCACTGTACTCCAGCCTGGGCAACAAGAGCGAAACTCTCAAAAAAACAAAACAAAACAAAAACAAAAACTCTGGGAGACAGCAAAAGTGGTGCTAAGAGGAAAGTTCATAGCATTAAATGCCTACATCAAAAAGTCAATCTAGACATCAAAAAGTCAACATAGACAATCTAAGGTCACCCTTCAAGGAACCAGAGAAACAAGAACAAACCAAACCCAAACCCATCAGAATAAAATAAATAGCAAAGAAATAAATGAAATTGAAATAAATTTCAGAGCAGAAATAAATGAAATTGAAACCAAGAATACAAAAGATAAATGAAATGAAAAGCTGGTTCTTTGAACAAATAAACAAAATTGACAGACCATTAGCAAGATTAACCAAGAAAAGAAGAGAGAAGATCCAAATAAGCTCAATTAGAAATGAGACAGGAGATATTGCAACCGATACCACAGAAATACAAAAGATCATTGAAGGCTACTATGAACACCTTTATGCAGACAAACTAGAAAGTCTAGAGGAGATGGGCAAATTCTTGGAAATATACAACCCTCCTAGATTAAATCAGGAAGAAATAGAAACTCTGAACAGGCCAATAGCAAGTAGTGAGATTAAAATAATAATTTAAAAACTGCCCAAAAGAAAAAGTCCAGGACCAGATGTATTCACAGCTGAATTCTATCAGACAGTCAAAGAAGAATTGGTATCAATCTTACTGAAACTATTCAAAAAGATAGAGAAAGAGAGAATTTTCCCTAATTCATTCTATGAAGCCAGTATCACCCTAACACTAAAACTGGGAATAGGCAGAAAAAAAGGAAAACCACATACCAATATCCCTGATGAACATAGGTGCAAAAATCCTCAACAAAACACTAGCTAACTGAATCCAACAGCATGTCAAAAAGATAATACGCCATGATCAAGTGGGTTTCATACCAGGGATGCAGGGATGGTTTAACATATGCAAGTCAATAAATGTGATACATCACATAAACACAGTTAAATACAAAAATCACATCATCAACTCAAAAGACACAGAAAAAACATTTGACAAAATTTACCATCGCTTTATAATTAAAACCCTGAGCAAAATTGGCATAGAAGGGACATACATCAACTTAATGAAAGCCATCTATGACAAACCCACAGAAAGAATTATACTGAACAGGGAGAAGTTGAAAGCATTCCCCTTGAGAACTGGAAGGAGACAAGAATGCTGACTTTCACCCCTTCTCAAAAGAAGACATTTATGCAGCCAAAAAACACATGAAAAAATGGTCACCATCACTGGCCATCAGAGAAATGCAAATCAAAACCACAATGAGATACCATCTCACACCAGTTAGAATGGCGATCATTAAAAAGTCAGGAAACAACAGGTGCTGGAGAGGATGTGGAGAAATAGGAACACTTTTACACTGTTGGTGGGACTGTAAACTAGTTCAACCATTGTGGAAGTCAGTGTGGCAATTCCTCAGGGATCTAGAACTAGAAATACCATTTGACCCAGCCATCCCATTACTGGGTATATACCCAAAGGACTATAAATCATGCTGCTATAAAGACACATGCACACGTATATTTATTGCGGCACTATTCACAATAGCAAAGACTTGGAACCAATCCAAATGTCCAACAATGATAGACTGGATTAAGAAAATGTGGCACATATACACCATGGAATACTATGCAGCCATAAAAAATGATGAGTTCATGTCCTTTGTAGGGACATGGATGAAATTGGAAATCATCATTCTCAGTAAACTATCGCAAGGACAAAAAACCAAACACCGCATGTTCTCACTCATAGGTGGGAATTGGACAATGAGAACACATGGACACAGGAAGGGGAACATCACACTCTGGGGACTGTTGTGGGGTGGGGGGAGGGGGGAGGGTTAGCATTAGGAGATATACCTAATGCTAAATGACAAGTTAATGGGTACAGCACACCAGCATGGCACATGTATACATATGTAACTAACCTGCACATTGTGCACATGTACCCTAAAACTTAAAGTATAATAATAATAAAAATAAAAAAAGAAAAAGAAAAGGGAAGTTACAAATTAAAAAAAAAAAAGACAAAACATAGGATTGGAAGTCCTAGCCAGAATAATCAGACAAGAGAAAGAAATAAAGGACATACAAATAGGTAAAGAGAAAGTCAAACCATCACTGTTCACTAATGATATGATCATATACTTCAAAAACCCTAAAGACTCATCCAAAAAGCTCCTAGATCCGAAAAATGAATTCAGCAAATTTTCAGGTTACAAAATAAATGTATACAAATAAGTAGCACTACTATACACCAATGACCAAGCTGAGAATCAAATCAAGAACTCAATCCCTTTTACAATAGTTTCCCGAAAATAAATTTAAAAAATGCTTGGAATATACTTAACCAAGGAGGCTAAAAATCTCTACCAGGAATACTACAAAACACTGCTGAAAGAAATCATAGATGACACAAACAAATGGAAACACATCCCATGCTCATGGATGGGTAGAATCAATATTGTGAAAAGGACTATACTGCAAAAGGCAGTCACAAATTCAATGCAATTCCCATCAAAATACCACCATCATTCTTCACAGAACTAGAAAAAACAATTCTAAATTTCATATGGAACCAAAAAAGAGCCCACATAGCCAAAGCAAGACTAACCAAAAAGAACAGATCTGGAGGCATCACATTACCTGATTTCAAAATATAATATAAGGCCATAGTCACCAAGACAGCATGGTACTGGTATAAATGTAGGCACATAGACCAATAAAACAGAATAGAGAACCCAGAAATAAACCCAAATACTTACAGCCAACTGATCTTTGACAAAGCAAACAAAAACATAAAGTGGTAAAAAAACACCCTATTTAACAAATTGAGCTGGGATAATTGGCAAGCCACATGTAGGAGAATAAAACTGGATCCATGTCTCTCACTCTACACAAAAATCAACTCAAGGTAGATCAGGGACATAAATCTAAGACCTGAAACTATAAGAATTTTAGAAGATAACATCGGAAAAACCCTTCTAGACATTGGCTTAGGCAAGGATTTAATGACCAAGAACCCAAAAGTAAATGCAATAAGAACAAAGATAAATAGCTGAGACCTTAATTAAACTAAAGAGCTTTTGCACGGCAAAAGGAACAGTCAGCAGAGTAAACAGATAACCCACAGAGTGGGAGAAAATCTTCACAATCTATACATATGACAAAGGACTAATATCCAGAATCTACAATGAACCCAAACAAATTAGTAAGTAAAAAACAAACAATCCCATAAAATATGAGTTAAGGGCATGAATAGACAATTCTCAAAAAAAGACATACAAATGGCCAACAAACATAAGAAAAATTGCTCAGCATCACTAATAATCAGGAAAATGCAAATCAAAACCACAATGCAATACCATTTCACTCCTGAAAGAATGGCCTTAATCAAAAAATCAAAAAATAATAGATGTTGGCAAGGATGTGGTGAACAGAGAACAATTTTCCACTGCTGGTGGGAATGTAAACTGGTACAACCACTATGGAAAACAGTGTGGAGTTTCCTTAAAGAGTCCTAAAAGTAGAACTACCATTTGATCCAGCAATCCCACTACTGGGTATCTACCCAGAGGAAAAGAAGTCATTATACAAAAAAGATACTTGCATACACATATTTATAGCAGCACGATTCACAATTGCAAAAATGTGGAAGTAACCCAATGAGTGGATAAAGAAACTTTGATATATATATATATATATATATATATATATATATATATATATATATGATGGAATATATATATATATATATGATGGAATATATATATATATATATATATGATGGAATATATATATATATGATGGAATATATATATATATGATGGAATATATATATATGATGGAATATATATATATATATGATGGAATATATATATATATATGATGGAATATATATATATGATGGAATATATATATATATATGATGGAATATATATATATATATGATGGAATATATATATATGATGGAATACTACTCAGCCATAAAAAGGAATGATTTAATGGCATTTGCAGTGACCTGTTTGAGATTGGAGACTATTATTCTAAGTGCAGTAACTCAGGAAGGGAAAACCAGGCATTGTATGTTCTCACTCATAAGTGGGAACTAAGCTATGAGGATGCAAAGGCATAAGCATGGCACAATGGACTTTGGGGACTCTGCAGGAAAGGGTGGGAAGGGGGTGACGGATAAAAGATTACAAATTGGTTGCAGTGTATACTGCTTGGGTGATGGGTGCACCAAAGTCTCAAAAATCTTCACTAAAGAACTCACTCATGTAACCAAACACCACCTGTTTCCCAATAACCTATAGAAATAAATTTTTTTTAAAAAAGAATAGAACAGAATAGAAAACCCAGAAATAAATCCACATATTTATAGCTGACTTACATTCAATGAAGCTATGAAGAATATTCATTGGGGATATGACATCCTTTTCTATAAATGGTGCTGGGAACACTGGATAACCATATGCAGAAGAATGAAACTGGACCCCTACTTCTCACCATATACAAAAATCAACTCAAGATAGATTAAAGACTTAAATGTAATACCTGAAACTATAAATCTGCTAGAAGAAAACATAGAAAAAGTTCTTCAGGAAATAGGTCTAGGCAAAGATTTTATGACTAAGATCTCAAAAGCACCAGTAACAAAACCAAAAATGGACAAATGGAACTATATTAAACTAAAAAGCTTCTGCACAGCAAAAGAAACAATCTACAGGGTGAAGAGAAAACCTCTTAAATGGGAGAAAATATATGCAAGCTACTCATCCAACAGGGGATGAATATCCAGAATATACAAGGAAATCAAACATCTTCATAGTAAAAAAATAAATAATCCTGGCCAGGTGTGGTGGCTAATGCCTGTAATGTCAGCACTTTGGGGGCCTACAGCAGGAGGATCTCTTGAGTCCAGGAGTTCAAGATCAGCCCAGGAAGCATAGCTAGACTTCAGTCTCTTACTAAAATTAAAAAGAACCAAATAGCCTGGTATGGTGACATGAGCCTGTAGTCCCAGCTGAAGGACTGAGGCAAAAGGATAGCTTGAACCCAGGAATTTGATGCTGCAGTGAACTATGGGACCACTGCACACTAACCTGGGCAAGATCTAGTCTCAAAAATAAATAATTAAATTAATTAATTAATTAATTAATAACCCCATTTTTAAAATGAGCAAAGAACATGAACAGACATTTCCCAAAAGAAGACAGGCATTTGTTCTCTTCATTGAGAAAAGAAAAATGAGAGAGAGCAAGAGAAAGAAAAGAAGACATATAAATGGTCAACAGGTACATGAAAGAATGCTCAACATTACTAATCATCAGGGAAATGCAAATCAAAACCACAATGAAGTCAGGCCACAGTGGCTCATGACTGTAATGCCGACACTTTCAGAGGCCAAGGTGGGAGGATCGCTTGAGCCAGGAGTTTGAGACCAGCCTAAGCAAAGTAGTGAGATCCCATCACTACAAAAGCAAAACAAACAACCACAATGAGATATCATTTTACCCCAGTTGGGATGGCTACTATGAAAAAGACAAAACAAACAAACAAACAAAACAAAAAAACCACAGGTGTTGGCAAGGATATGGAGAAAAGGGAACTCTTATTCACCATTGCTTGGAATGTAAGTAAGTACAGCCACTATGGAAAATAATATGGAGATTTCTCAAAAAACTAAAAATAGAACTACTACACAATCAAGCAATCTCACTAATTAGTATTTATCCAAATGGAAAAGAAAGTAATGTATCAAAGGGATACACACATTCTTTATTGCAGCACTATTCACAAGAGCCAAGATATGGAATCAACCTAAGGGTCCATGAATGGATGAATGGATAAAGAAAATGTAGTATATATAGACAATGAAAGTATTCAGCCATTTAAAAAGATGAAATCATGTCATTTGCAGTAACATGGATGGAAGTGGACGTCATAATGTTAAGTGAAATAAGCCAGGCACAAAAAAACAAATATCACATGTTCTCACTCGTATGTGGGAGTTTAAAAAGTTGATCACATCAGGGTAGAGAGTAGAATGATAGATACCAGAGACTAGGAAGTGGACGGAGATACAGAGATGTTGGTTAATGGTTATGAACCTATACTAATATAAAGAATAAATTCCAGTGTTTGATAGCAGAGTAGGGTGACTATAGTTAACAACAATGTGTAGTATTTTTCAAAAAAACTAGAAGAGAGGACTTGAAATGTACTCAATGCATAAAAATGATAAATTGTGGGTGATAGATACCCTAAACACCCTGACTTCATCATTACATTGCATGCATGTAACAAAATATCACATATAACCCATGAATATGTTCAAATATAATGTATCAAAAAATTTTAGAACTAAAAACAAAAACCAAAGCCCCCAACCCAAACATGTAGTTTAGTTTTTATTTTACAGAAACAAAGCATAATGACATTTTCACTTATACATTCCAAATCTTCAGAACTTACATTATTACGTAAATGAATACATCAAAATATTAAGATACATATTTTTCATTTCTAAATTACAACCAGTTGGTAAATAGGCAAAAAAAAGATGAATAAATAGAGTGACAAGAAAAAGAAGATAGGAGAGAGCCAAATCCAGAGAAAAAGGAAAGAAAATAAGAGCAAGTATAGGAATGAAATTGTCCTTATACAGAGGCTGACTTACCTTTAATCTAAAAAGACTTAATATTCGGGACCCCTTCTTGCAGGAGCCTTTTAACATCATATATTTTTGTACAATCTGCAAAAAGTAAGATAATTTAACAGCAAATTGTTAAGACTGTTGTATTTCTTCATTCTGACTTCTCATCCATCATACATTTTGCCCCTTGTTAGGCGGCAATAGAGTGACCATAGATATTTCAGAGATTCAAATAAGGGAAAGTTAAGTTGGGGATACACAAGGTAGAAAATGTATTTATGGCTTTACATTCACTCCATGCATAGTTAAATTATTACACGGGCTTAATCAGGGACATAGATAGGTTTAAACTAAGGATGACTGATTCTTATACTAATGATCTTAGAACTCTCAATATTGTGTTTTATGTGCTTACTAATCACTATAGGCCTTGATTCTTCAATGTAAAGCCATAATAAGATATTGTTACTTGCCAACATTTGATATTGTTTACCTCCTCTCTACCCAGTGAGAGGCAGAGAAGTAGTAAATAAAAGGCATCAACTCATTATTCTAGTCATTTACTCTCTGTCACGCTATTGTACACTACACTTTAGCCATACTGGACGCCTTACTTTTACCAGACCATGTACTTGATGTACTTGGCTATTCTCTCTCCCCAGCCTCAAATGAATCTGCCCAAGCACATCTATACAGGTTATTATTAATTTCTTGCTGGTATTACTTGAAATACTGACATTGATGAAGATAATCCCTCATTTCTAATTTACTATGACAACAATGACATCAATGATAAACTGGTTAATGAGTGTCATTAATTCTAGGAGTATCTAAGATTAATGATTACCGTATAGTAACTGAAGAGGAATAAAATTATTTTTCTTCTAGTCCCAGACATAATGTATGTTTGATCCATTGTATTCTCCCAACAAGGAGTGACTATGGTTTGCTGGTCAAAGTGGTAGATTATGGTAGTCATAACACATCATTCGGTTATCTCCCAGATCCATACTATATTAATGCAATATATACACTTGGCTACTGGAAGATGTCCAATATCAACTTCCACTTCTGAAATAAGAGATTATGAAGGAAGAGACTAGTAGAAAGACCTGAGTTTCCAATTCTATCCCCAGTTGTCAATAAAAAACAATACCGTAGATTGCCTTCCTCTTTTTGGCTATGATGGAATAGCTTGTACAATATTAATGTTCCTTCCAATAATAATGAGTAAAGCCAGATAAAACACAAAAAATAGGCCAGGCACAGTGGCTCATACCTGTAATCCCAGCACTTCAGGAGGCCAAGGCAGGAGGATCACTTGAGCCTAGGAGTCTTAAGACCAGCTTGGGCAACATAGCAAGACCCAGACTCTATAAAAATAAAAAATCAACTGGGCATGGTGGCCCATGCCTATAGTCCTAGCTACTTGGGAATCTGAGGCAGGAGGATTGCTTGAATACTGGAGCTCAGGAAGCTGAGTCTGCAGTGAGCTATGATCACACCACCGCACTCCAGCCTGGGTGACAGAGCAAGACCCCCTCTCAAAGGAAAAAAAACTACAAAAAATATACGCTTGAGGGAATCATAAAACTCTCAAGGTGATGACAGCTTGAGAAGACAAGATCATGAAAAGAAGATAACAAGAGAGGAGCCAACATTCTCCAGTTGCTTTACTCCTAAAGATTATCTTATTTTTAGGGCAGAGCAACAGACTGATAATTCTAGCAAACAACTTATGGCCATGGAGAGACAAAGAATGGTATCTGGGGCTGCCAAATTTAAGGGATCAGGATGTCAGTGAAACAGTAGACAATGACAGCCAGAAAAAGCTTAAACTCTGCTTCAAGTCAGATCCATTCCAGATTAAAATAAGGATCATTTTCTACTCTATATGCCTAACAGAGGATAGGGCTAATTCCTTCTGGAAGAAAAGTGCATCACTGAGAAAAATAATGAATAACTTAATTATTGGATTAGAGATAAACTTTATAATAGCTATAATGAATATGTAAAAAGATAATAGAAATCATAATGAAAAATTTTATTAAAGAAATAGAATGTATAGAAAAGAATTAATAGAAATTCTAGAACTAAAAAATGATGATATAAATTTTTAAAAACTCCTATAGATGGGTCAATATTGGCAAAAATAACAAAGTAAGAACCTCCAAAAACTCTCCTCTCCATAAAAGCAACAAGAAAAGTGACAAAAATTGAAAAAAAAATCAACTCTTTCAGAACTCTGGAAATTAACCAAAGTCTTGCAGCAATCCAGAGAACATTTACTAAAGAAAAATGGTGCAATCTCAATAAGAACAGTTTTGTGACATTTTAACTTGTACAATTCCCATTCTGTCCTCTCGGGTTCTGCAGTAGACTTGAGAACCAACAAGCTGTAATCATGGTGAAAATCAGCAGCCTGGAGGGAGCAGAACAGAGCTGGGGCTTTTCCAAAATCTTGTGATCAGAGAATTGTCATTATTTTACCTGTCTGGTGGTTTCCTGGAATACCCAATTTGCAAAGTAGTTCTCATTTGACCTGATTGGGAACTTGCCCGGTGCAAAAATCCTTTTCCATGAAAATATTTATTGGAAACAATTAAAGGCAACCGAATTGCCTGAGGCAGTGGATAACAGTTGAGGAAAACAAGAGATTAAATAAAAAGCTTAAAGGGAAAATCTGGGAAATGAGATGTCCAAGGGGCTTTGATTATTTCCATCATATTCCTGGAAATCTAGAAGGCCATGTACATATGTAGGATGGGGTGCATACTTAGGAAAGACCTGAGAAGATTGTAAGCTTTCTTCTTGGACTGGCCTTGGTGCTCTGTACAAGGAGGAAATAAAGGGTAAAGTGGAGTTGTCAACTGTCTGGCTGAGTGTTGAAGGTATCACCAACATGCACACAGAACCTGCTGTGGTTTGAATATGGCTTGTCCTCATCAAAACTTATTTTGAGGCTTGGTTCCCAATCTGGTGGTGTTGGGAGATGGTGCCTTTAAGAGGTGCTTAGGTCATTAAGTTGGATTGGTGTCTTTCTTGAAAGACTGGGTTAGTTATGAAGTTCCCTTGAGAGTGGGTTGTTATAAAGTGAGTTTGCCTCTCTTGTTTTGTCCTGTTCACATATACCTCGTTCTCCTTTTGTTTCTCTGCCATGTTTTGACACAGCACAAGGACCTCAGCAGAAGCCACCAAATCAGCTGTCTAATATTGAACTTTCCAGCCTGCAGAACCATGAGTAAAATAAACCTCTTTTCTTTATAAATTACTTCATCTCAGGTATTCTCTTATAGGAACACAAAACAAAGAAAAAGCTCCCCAGGAAAGACTAGGAGATATGTTTATTCCAGGCATTTTAGGAAACCTTTGTTCAAACATTAGGTGACCACTAAGCTAACTGAGAAAAAATGTAATAGCTACACATAACAAAGAATCAGACTTTGCAAGATTTGTTCAGAAAAGTCACAAAATAAAACAACAACAAACAATGAAAGCAAACCCTAGAAGGGAAAGCGAGGGAAGAATCTCATTATCTGGGTTGCCACATTATATTACACAAAATATCTAGTTTTCAACAAAAATTACAAGACATGCAAAGAAATAATAAAGCATGGCCTGTACATAGGGGGGAAATTAATAAATAAAAAATGTCTCTAAGGAAGCCCAGCATTTAGACTTACTAGACAAAGACATTAAATAAGCATTTAAAATATATTCAAAGAATGGAAGGAAATCATGTTTACTAAAGGCAAGCATATGAATGATGTCTCACCACCCAATAGAGACTACAGCAACAGGAATTATATAAGAAAAGAACCAAATAGAAATTCTGGAGTTGAAAAATACAATAACAGAAATGAAAATTTCACCAGACTGGCTTGACAGCAGATTTGAGCAAGGCAGAAGAAATAATCAACAAAGTTAAATGTAGGTTAATTTTGATTATCCAGTTTGAGGAAGAAGAAGAAAAATGGGAAAAGAAAAATGAACAGATCCTCAGAGACCTGTAGAACACCATCAAGCAGACCAAAATATGTATAACTGTAGTCCTAAAATGAAAAAAAGGGTGCCAGAAAAAATATTTGAAGAAATAATGGCTGAAAACTTTGCAAATTTGATAAAAAATGTTAATCTACATATCTGAGAATCTTAATGAACTATAAGTAGAATAAACTCAAAGAGATCCACACCTACACACATTGTAATCAATCTGTTGAAAGTTGAAGACAAAGATATCTTGAAACCATTAAGAGAGAAATGACTTATCACATTCAAGCAAGAAGATTGACAGATGATCTTTCATTAGAAGCCATGGAGGGTCAGGTGCGGTGACTCATGCCTTTAATCCTAGCACTTTGGGAGGCTGAGGTGGGAGGATTGCTTGAGTGTAGGAGTTCAACACTCCATCCCTATTTAAAAGAAAAAAGTAAAAACATAAAAAAGAGAGACAGAGGAAGATAAAAAGAAAGAGAGAGAGAGAGAAAGAAAGGAAGGAAGAGAAAGAAAGAGAACCATGGAGGCTAGAATGCAATTGAAAGACTTATTCAAAGTGCTGAGGGGAAAAGCTGTCAGCCAAAAACTCTAAATGAAGGAGAAATTAAGACATTTTCAGGTAAAAAGAAACAGAGATTTCATCATTAGCAAGACAGCTGTACTAAAATACTTTCAGGCTGAAGTGAAAGGACACTAGAATATAGTGTAATATAGTCAAATCCATGTAAGGAAATAAAGACACCAAAAAGGTAACTGAAATAGGTGAATATAAAAGACAATATAAATGTACTTTTTAATGACTTTTTCTCCTATTTAATTTAAAACTTCAGCAAACAATATTTATAAATCTGTGTTGATAGGCACACATGTAAGAATGGTATAATTTGTATGACAATAACAGCACGGGGGTAGGGAACAGAGCTGTATAGAAATAAAGTGTTTGTATACTATTGAAATTAAGTTGGTATTAATACAAACTAGATTATTAATATGCTAATTTTAATCTGTAGGGTAGTCACTAAGACAAAAAAGTAGAGGAACTAAAAATGTAGAGTAAAAGAAATGATAAGTGAATTAAAATGATACATAGAAAATGTCTATTTAACACAACAAAAAGCAGTAATAGAGGAATAGAGGAACAAAAAAGATATAAGAAAAATAGAAAATAAACAATGAAATGGCAGACATAAAAATATGTTACAGTAATCACACTAAATATAAATACATTACATTTCAATTTAGACAGGTTAGCAGAATGGATAAAATAAAAATGATGCAACTATATATTCTCTGCTGGAGACAAACCTTAGATACAAAGTTACAAAGAGGTTGAAAGTACAAGGCAGGAAAAGATACACCATGTAAAGAGCAACCAAAAGAAAGCTGGAGTGGCTACACTAATGCCAGACAAAATAGACCTTAATACAAACATACCACTAGAGAAAAGTAAGGACATTTTAATGATAAAAGAGAAAGTTATAGCTGTAAATACCTACATTAAAAAAGAAGAAAAATTGCAAATCAGTAACAACCTTCCACTTTAAGAAATTAGAAAAGAGGCCGGGTGCGGTGGCTCACTCTGTAATCCCAGCACTCTGGGAGGCCAAGGAGGGTGGATTGCTTGAAGTCAGGAGTTTGAGATCAGCCTGGCCAACATGATGTAACCCCATCTCTACTAAACATACAAAAATTAGCCTGGCGTGGTGGCAGGCACCTATAACCCCAGCCACTCGGGAGGCTGAGACAGGAGAATCGTTTGAACCCGGGATGGGGAGGTTGCAGTGTGTGGAGATCAGGCCCCTGCACTCTAGCCTGGGTGACAGAGCAAGACTCCATCTCAAAAAAATAACCCTGTCTCAAACAAACAAATAAACAAACAAAAAAAGAAAAGAAAAGAAAAGAAATTAGAAATGAGTAAGACAAACCAGAACTAGTGAAAGGAATGTTAGAATGGGAATAAATGAACTAGGAAATAGAAAAAGATAGAGAAAATCAACAAAACTAAGTTTTTGCTTTTAAAGAATCAAAACTGAGGAAACTTTAGCTAGATTGAGTAAGAAAAAAAAGAAAGGAATTGAATTACTCAAATCAGGAATAAAAGATGAGACCTTTCTACCACTTTACAGAAATGAAAAACAATATAAGGGAATACTGTGTACAATTGCGTGCCAACAATTAGATAATCTAGATAAAATGGACACATTTTGTGCTGGGCAGGGTGGCACACATCTGTAGTACCAGCTACTAGGGAAGTTGAGGCAGGAGGATTGCCTGAACCCAGGAGTATGGGGTTATCGTGCACTGTAGCCTGGGCAACATAGCAACCTGTCAAAAAAAAAAAAGACAAATTTCTCGAAAAACATAACTACTAAAACAATGAAAAAGAATACAATATTTCAAAGTATTTTATCTTTTATAATGTTCTTTGACAAAAATAGAACAGAGCTAGAGATCAATTACAGAAAGATAACCAAAAAATTTTGAAGAGTTTAGAAATTAAGAAATACAAATTAAAATAATCCATAGATCAAAGAAGATAATCAGAGATTAAATCTAATTATTATCAGATCCCTGACAATAAAAAATTGAAAATATCAGTTGGGTGTGGTGGCTCATGCCTGTAATCCCAGTACTTTGGGAGGCTAAGGCAAGAGGATTGCTTGAGCCTAGGAAGTTCAAAACCAGCCTGGACCACATGATGAGATCCTATCTCTACGAAAAATAAAATATAAGTTAGCTGGTGTGGTGCTGCATGCCTGAGGTCCTAGCTTCTTAGGAGGCTGAGGTGGGAGGATCACTTGAGCCCAGGAGTCCAAGGCTGCAGTGAGATATGACAGCACCACTGCACTCCAGCCAGGGCAACAGAGTGAGACCCTGTCTTGAAAGAAAAGAAAAGGAAAGGAAAGAAAAAGAAAAGAAGGAAGGAAGAAAGAAAATTGAAAATATTGCAAATTATACTTGCATTACAAAATATTATAACATAAGATGAAGCTGAAGTCAGGTCTAGACAAAAATTATATGCAACCTTAAGTGCATATAATTAATTGGAAAGAAAGAAATACTGAAAATCAATCATATACTTAGAAAAAGAATGTCAAATTTAACCCAAGAAAAGTAAAAGTAAGGGAATTATATACATAAAAGAAGAAAATAATTTGATAGGAAATAATAATACAGTAGAAAAACATCAACAACACTAAAGGCTTGTTTCTTTGAAAAGACTAATAGGATTGATAAAATTTTAGCAAGACTGTGGAAGATTTTAAAACAAGACAGAAGGCATGAAATTCCAATATCAGGAATGAAAAAGGTACTGTCATTATGGGTCCTGTAGACATTAAAATTACAATAGAAAATATTATAAATAACTTTATGCTGACAAATTTGAAAAGCTAGATGAAATAGACATATTCTAGAAAACACCACTTACTAAAATGAACTCAAGAAATAATAGAAAAATTTTCATAATCCTGTATCTATTAAAGAAATTGAGTTGGTAATTACAAAACTTTCCACAAAGAAATCTGTAGGCAAAGATGATCTTATTGGGTGAATTCTTCTAAATATTCAGTGAAGGCATTTGCTAACCTTACACAAGCGATTCCAAAAGACGGGGGAATAAAGGAACATTTCTCAACTCATGCAGCAATATGCCAAATCCTCATAAGCATGAAGCAAAAACAAAAACAAAAAAGCAAAAGTAAGGCTCATCTCATTTTTAAACACAGATACAAAACTCCTAAAAGATCTATTAGTCAATTAAATATAACACTAGGTAAAATAATGACCAAGTTGAGTTTATTCTATGAACATAGGGTAAGTTTAATATATGAAAATCAAGCAATGAAAATAGTAACTTATGGTTGAAAAATCTGTCAGTTACCACTAAAATCAAGTAGTCAAAATTAGCATCACAGGGTAAGTTTAATATACGAAAATCAAGCAATGAAAATAGTAACTTTATGGTTGAAAAAATCTGTCAGTTACCACTAAAATCAAGTAGTCAAAATTAGCATCACTGATAACAGAACAAATCAACATCATGTGTCTCCTGATTCAATGCACGGAGATACAATATCAACTATGAAGAACTCCTGCCTTTGTCATATCCTCTATGAGCTATTTAGTTCCTTTCCAATAAATGCCTTTTCTGCTTAATTATTCAAGTTTGCATTCTATTGTTTAAAATCAAGAACCTGCATTAGTACAGTAGTAATAGTTATTGAGCACTAATGCTCACAGCAGTGTTTCAACATAGATATTATTTATCCTTATTCTAAGATGAGGCAATAGGTAGTTATAGTTAAGAATATGACCCCAAATCACATACACAATAATAGGTGAAGGAAAGAATAAATTTCAAGTTTACCTGTCTCCAAATTTCATTCTTTTAGACTCTCTAACCCTTCTCCCTTGACCATGCTTGGCATTTTTGACTAAGTGATTTTAGCCAGGAACCTGGTTTACCCAAATACACAGAATCATCAATCTGTCTCCCTCCATACCCTTCCTTGGGATTTAAGGATGTCAGAAGTTAAGGAGAGAAGATAAACATGTGCTTTTACTGTGATGCTCTCTGGGGAAAAGTTATGTGGGGTCCAGATAAAAATCATTGCCTCTCAGAGAACAAAGACATGCTATTCCCAGGGGGCTGCTCATGAGATCTTTTTATAAGGCTCCAAACAGTAAGACTAGATGTAGGGCTAGCTCCCGAGTGATGGAAAAGAATCGGGACAACTCCCTCCTGGGGGTATCTCTCTCTCTCTGTCTCTCTCTCGACTCCAAACAGCATCACAAGAGAACCTCAAGTTTTGTATTATTTATTCCAGGAACCCCAAAGGGAAGGTGAAAGAAACTTGGGGAGAAAAAAAATCTCCCTTGAATGCATGAAAAAACAGGTGTTGGGGTGATGTTGATGTTGAGATAGCCAAGTGCAGGCACCTGACTGCCACCTGGGGATGGGAGCAGGAGGGAGTGCTGGAGACCGTGGATTCAGAGGTTACTAGTGTAGACGTGCAGGGAGCCACAGGCCTGGATGAGTTCTCCAGAGCAGCAGGTGTAGAGTGATAAGAAGAGGGCTGACGACTAACATCAGGTGTGTAGTTTTAGGAGTGAAGAAGAAGAGTATTCAACAGAGGGGACAGGTTTTCATTCCTGCTTTGGCACCTGGAGCAATAGGAAGTGTTTGATTGCCTGTGCTACTTGAACATTCTCCTTCCCCGACAGCTTCCACGGCCTCTTTGTAGACTGTCTCCTTGCTCACCTTCACCTCATATTGTCCCCTGGATTTGAGGCCCCAGCCATCATGACATGTTCAGGCTTCTGAACAGGGCTGTGAGGAGGGGGATGGAGGGAAAATATCAGGGGAAAGGATTTATCTGAATGCATGTAGAGACTTCAAAGAAGCTCTTTTCCTGGGAAATTCTGGTAACATTTCTCTCTATCCAATAAAAAGTGGGTGAAAGGCAGTGTCACTAGTTTCTGGCAGACTAAGCCCCTGAGAAGGTCCTGCTGCACGGATGTGTGTAACTGAAGCTGTGTGGAGGGAGCTTGTGATCTATACAGAAGTAGCAAGGGCAAGAGGAACAAGAGAGGTTCAAAGGCACCAAGTGCAGAGGCAGTGGGTGGGGAGACCCAGGCATGGAAGCCAGTGTTTCACTGTGAATACTTGGAAAGTCCCTGGCTGGCTCCAAACAGTAGAATATGGCTGGATTCTAGAGTCTGTTGTCAGAATAATGAGAATTAATACGGAAGCTCATTTTCAGACTTATCATTAGTTATGAGATGATGGAGGGTTAAGGAAACCACAGTAAGAGGAAGAGATTCTAAGGCTAGCTTCTTAGGACCCCACCCCATCCCTAAATTTTCAGATGGGAGAGAGAGGAGTGTTATGCATCTCTGTATCATTCTTTTTTGGAGCTGAGAGAGACAGAAAGGAGAGGGGAGGGGAGGGAAGGGGAGGAAGAGATGAAGAGGGAGAGGGGAGGGGAGGGAAGGGGAGGAAGAGATGAAGAGGGAGAGATGGAGAGGGAGAGATGGAGAAGGAGAGAGGGGGAGGGAGGGAGGGGAGGGAGAGGAGGAGAGAGAGAAGAGAAAGGGAGAGAGAGTGGGGAGAGAGGGAGAATAAGTATAAATCATCAATTAATCTGTGGATGTCTGATTGTCCACCTTCTGGATTATTTCAGACACTGAAATTTGTGAATAATGATAAGCAGGGCCTGGATCAGGAGAGCACTTCAAAAGATAAGGACTTGTACATAGGATGTTAAAGCCTGCTAAACAGGTCCTCACAGGCCCACCTTTTACTGCTTCCTCTTGAAATAAGCCTCTTCTGCCCTTCCCACCCTGTCATTACCACTGTCCCCAATACCACAAAGTGGAGGATTGTGGAAATCCCTTAAGAAAAAGAAAAGAAGCTCATTGTCTACATCAGAAATTCTCTGTAACTCCCATCCTCCCACTTCCTCATGCTGCCTGACTGCCTTCCTTATCACTCTACATCAGTTGGATTGTATCAACGTTTGGCCTTTCTTAAACCTCCTACTCTGGTGTCCAAAGGACAGATTTCTGTCCCAGAGCAGATATGAATGTTACAAGGGGAGTGTTTGATAGACAAAGGACCCCATGTTACTTCTGCAGTTGAAACTAGCCTCTGTATAAGGAATTAAAAGACTATGAGAAGAAAGTAATGATGGAGACATTATTCTCCCTATTGTCATGGATCAATGGCATCATCTGGGGATTAGGCCAATGGCTGCTTTGAAGGAATATTTTATAAAGTAGACATTATCAGTGATGAATTTGAGTGTGAGTTGAAATGGAAGTATAGTAAAGTGGTAAGACTCCTTGATGAATCAATGTTTGGTGTAAGGAAAGAGGAAGAGAGAGGCAAGATAATATGAAAATCTGATGGCTGATAGAGGTGGAGAGCCAACATCACAGCTCAGGGATGAGTATGATGTATCACTGAATTCTCCCTGTTGGCCTGTGACAGCATTTGTGGTTGGAGAAATGAGAAGTGAAAGAAAAACTCACGCCTAGAGGTACCACATTTGTCAAAAATAATAGAAGAGAAAACCATGCCAGACAGTCTTAGAGAAGATAAAAAGTTATCACATGATTTCAGGGCATTAGGAAGTCCCTGCTTTTTCAGCCACTCCCATCTTATAGTTGTGTCTTAAATTTATCCATTAGAGCTGGGCGTGGTGGCTCACGCCTGTAATCCCAGCACTTTGGGAGGCCAAGGCAGGCGGATCACGAGGTCAGGAGATCGAGACCACGGTGAAACCCCGTCTCTACTAAAAATACAAAAAATTAGCCGGGCGCGGTGGCGGGCGCCTATAGTCCCAGCTACTCGAGAGGCTGAGGCAGGAAAATGGCGTGAACCCAGGAGGCGGAGCTTGCAGTGTGCCGAGATCGGGCCACTGCACTCCAGCCTGGGCGACAGAGCGAGACTCTGTCTCAAAAAAAAAAAAAAAAAAAAAAAAAAAAATATATATATATATATATATATAATCCATTAGAAAGTTGCTCTGGGCGAATGGAATTTGTTCATTGTTATAACTTCTTAAAACACAATATCCCTTGTCTAGATTCAAGACATATATATTTGAGTCCCATGCAAATACGGGACACTATGGGTACAGTAAATGAACGACCATATGGAAGAGTTACAGGAGCTAAGATGAAACATGAATCATTAAAAACTGAGGATAACTGAAGGACGTAAGTCCTACAGGGGGGTCTTTACTCTGAATCCTGCCACTAAGTGCTCAATAAAATCGAGTTAAGTAAGTGAGTAAATGAATGAATGATAAATGAATGAATAAGTATGGATTTTGTTTTCAAAGATAGAAAGGATTCACAAAAGCAGAGATTATGAGGTATGAAAAAGGTTTTTTTCTAAGAATAGACCCTCAAACACTCTTAGATTCTTGCTGTTTTCTGAGTACCCCAATGTCAACTGTCTATTCCAGAAGTAAACCCTCAAGTATATGGTCAAATGATCTTCCACCAGGGTGCCAAGAGTATACAATGGGGAAAGGTCAATCTCTTCGACAAATTGCGTTGGGAAAACTGGATATCCACATGGAAAATAATGAAGTTGGATTCTTACCTGACACCATATGCAAATACAAAAATTAACTCAAAATGGATAAAAGACCTAAATGTAAGAGCTAAAAGTATCAAACTCCTAGAAGTTCTATCAAACATAGAAGAAAACTTTATGACATTAAATTTTGCAACAATTTATTGGATATGACCAAAAACAGGCAACAAAAAATACACAAATCCAACTTCATCAAACTTAAACATTTCTGCACATCAATGAAAACAATCAACAGAGTGAAAAACAATATGAAATAAGATATTTGCAAATTATCTTTTCAGTAAGAAGTTAATATCCAGAATATATAAGGAGCTTCTACAACTCAACAGCAGCAACAATGACAAATAGCCTATAAACATCCTCAGCAAAATACTAGCAAAATGAATGCAACAGCACATTAAAAGGGTCTTTTATCATGATCATGTGGGTTTTATTCCAAGGATGCAAGATGTTTCAACATACTCAAATCTAAAAATGTGACATACCACTTTAACAGAATGAAGAATACTAACCATATTAATATCTCAATAGACTCTGAAAAAGCATTTGACAAAATTCAACATCCTTTCGTGATTTAAAAAAAAACTCTCAACAAATAAGGAATGCACCTCAACACAATGAAGGTCATATATGACAAACTCATAGCTAATATCATTCTCAATGGTGAAAAGTTGAAATTTTTTTCCTCTAAGACCAGGAACAAGACAAGGAGGTCCACTCTAACCATTTCTATTCAACATAGTACTGAAGTTCTAGCCAGCAATTAGGCAAGAGTAAGAAATAAAAATCATCCAAATTGGAAAGGAAAAATGTAAATTGTCACTGTTTGTAGATGACATGATTATATAAATAGAAAACCATAATAACTCCACTTAAAAACTATGAAGTAATAAAGAAATCTAGTTGCAACAGAATACAGATTGTACTGAAAAAAAAATAAAGGAATCTTGTAAAGTTGCAGGATACAAAAATCAACATACAAAAATCAGTAGCATCACACTAACAAAGAACTATCTGAAAATGAAACCAATAAAACAATCTCATTTACAATAGCTAAAAATAAGTAAATAAGTAAAATAATACATTTAACAAAGGAGGTGAAAGACCTATACGCTTAAAACTATAAAACACTGATGAAGGAAATTGAAGAAGTCACAAACAAATGGAAAGATATCCTGTGTTTATAGATTATAAGAATCAATATTGTTAAAATGTCTGTACTACCCAAAGTGATCTGCAGATTTGATGCAATCCCTATCAAAATTTCCTTACATTTTTCACAGAAACAGAAAAAAAAATCCTTAAATTCATATGGAACCACAAAAGACCTTGAATAGCCAAAGCAATTGTGAGCAAAAAGAACAAAACTGGAGGCATCATACTATCTGATTTCAAAATATACTAATATACTACAAAGCCATAGTAATCAAAACAACATGGTACTGACATAAAAACAGATGCATTGACAAAATAGCCCAGAAACAAATCCACACATTCATGGTCAATTGATTTTCAACAAAGGTGCCAAGAACCAACAATGGGTAAAGCATAGTCTCTTCAATAAATGGTATTGGGACAACTGAATATCCACATGTAGAAGAATGAAACTAGACTGTCATCTCACACCATATGCAAAAATCAACTCAGAATAAAGGCTTACACATAAGACCTGAAACTGTAAAACTACTAGAAGAAAACATAGAAGAAAAGCTCCATGACATTAGTTTGGGCAATAATTTTTTGATATAATCCCAAAAGCACAGGCAACAAAAGCAAAAATAGACAAATGGGATTATATCAAACTAAAAACCTTGTTTTTCTTACAGCCAAAGAAACAATCAATAGAGTGAAGAGACAACATATGGAATGGGACAAAACATTTGCAAACCATATGCTTGATAAGGGGTATAGGAATCCAAACAACTCAATAGCAAGAAAACAGCCTGATTTTAAAATGAGCAAAGGATTTGAAAAGACATTTCTCAAAAGTTGACATACAAATGGCCAACAGGCATATGAAAAAAATGCTCGACATAGCTAATCAGAGAAATGAAAATTAAAACCACAGTGAGATACCATCTCACAACTGTTAGAATGACTATTGCCAAAGGCAGGTAACAAGTGCTGGCAAGGGTGTGGAGAAAAGGGAACCCTTGTACACTGTTGGTGGGAATGTAAATTATATAGTCATTATGGAAAACAGTATGGAGGCTCCTTAAAAAATTAAAAATAGAACTACCATGTGATCCAGCAATCTCATTTCTGAGCATACACCCAAAGGAAATGAAATCAGCACTTCATAGAGATACTTATGCTCCATGTTCATTGCAACATTGTTCACAATAGCTAAGATATGGAAACAACCTAAGTGTGTATCAACAGATAAATGGATAATGAAAATGTGGTATATACACACAATGGCATACTATTGAGCCTTAAAAAAGAGTAAGATCCTGTCACTCACAACAAAAATGGATGAACTTGAAGAACATTATGTTAAGTGGATATGCCACAGAAAGACAAATACCACATAATCTCATTTATATGTGAATCCAAAAAAGTTGAACTAATAAAAATAGTGAATAGAATGGTGGTTATTAGGAGCTGAAAATGCTGCTGGTTGGAAAGATGTTTGTCCCAGGTTACAAAATTTCAGCCAAATAGGAGGAATACGTTCAAGAGGCCTAGTGTACAATGTGGTGAATATAATTAATAACAATGCATTGTATTCTTGCAAATTGCTAAGAGAGTAGGTTTTAAGTGTTCTCACCATAGAAGTATATAATGCATATATTAATTAGGTCAATTTAACCATTCCACAATGCATACATATTTTAAACATCACGTTGTACATGATAGGTATATATGATTTTTCTTTGTCAATTAAAAAAGCAAATAACCTGGTTTAAAAATGGGCAAAGGACTTGAACAGATAATTCTTCAAATAATATATACAAATAGCCAACAAGTGTATGAAAATATGTGTAACACCATTAATTATTCGAGAAACATGAATCAAAACCACAATGAGATAGATATCTCACAGCCATTAAGGTGGCCACTACAAAACCAACCCAACAAAAAAAATAACAAGTGTTAGCGAGGATGTCAAGAACTGGAATCCTGGTGCACTGTTGGTAGGAATGTAAATGGTGCAGCCACCATGGAAAACAGTATGAGATTTCCTAAAAAGTTTACAAATAAAATTATCACATGATTCAGCAATTCCATGTCTCGATACATACCCAAAGGAAACAAAATCAGCATTTAATAAAGATATTTCTGCTTTCATGTACATTGCAGCATTATTTACAATAGACAATGGGTGTAAACAACCGAAAAGTTTATTGACAGATAAATGAATAAAGAAAATGTGGTGTGTATATATATATATATGTATATGCAGTGGAATATTATTCAGCCTTAAAAAAAGAAGAAATCCTCTTACATGGTACAACATGGATGAACATTATGGTAAGTGGAATAAGCCAGTCACAAAAAGATAAATACTGTATGATTACACTTATAAGAGATATCTAAAGTCAAAATAATAGAAACAGAGTGGGGGTTTCCAGGAGCTGGGAAGAGCGGGAAATAGGGAGTTGTTCCCTGAGGATAAAGTTTCATTTTGCATATAAAAAAGTTCTAGAGTTGTCACACAACAATGTGAATATTATTTACCCAACTGAGCTATACACATAAAAGGGTTAAGAGGATAAATCAGATATGGATGAGACTCAAGGTATGATTCATTGTGAGGCAAATTGCTCTCCAGCTGTGAAATCGAATATGCTATTTGCTTCCAAAATATAATGATGGGACAGGCATAGGATAGAAATTCTTATTCCAAAAGGAAGAAATGGGAGAGAAGAAAAGTGTACCAGGTCCTGAGCAAGTCAAGTTTCCAGAATAATCTTTTTGAATCAAGGTTCTGCCCTCCAGGCACACTGGGGAGGTGGCCTCTGCCTCATGGCTTTGTGCAGCCCTGCCCTCATAGTTGCTCCCTTTGGTGGCCCTACCTCTGAGGCAGCTGGGTGCCCGAGGCTCTCCCAGGCTGAAATTGTATACCAGTGGTTCAATTGGTCTAGGGCCTCAGGGGTGGCCTTACCCTACTGCTTCACTGGGCATTGCGCAGTGCAATCTCTCCATGGTGGCCCTGCACATGGTGGCTTTCTGCCTACGCACTGTGGCTTTCCAGAGCATCCTTTGAAATCTAGGTGGAGGTTACCATGCCCGCACAGCTTTTCAGAGCACAGCACTCACTAAACCAGGATCTGTTGGAGCCATACCTGGGGTAGCCTAGGAGCCCTGTGATGGAATGTGGAGAGCAGAGCCTCAAGGTGGCCCATGATAGTGAGTGCTGAAGCCCCACAAGTACCTGCAGCCCCTCCTTTGAAATCATTCTGTCCCTCATGCCCTTGTATTCCGCACCTCGGATAGGAGTGGCAGCCCTGATCTGAAATGTCTTTGGGTCATTCTTTCATTGCCTTGATGAATAGCACCCAGATTCCACTGAGATGGTTGATCCATACTAATTTCCTCATCCGATGGTTACATAGACACACCACTGGTGTTCTGTCCTGAACATGATTTCTTAGTTTTCACAATATGGATAGGCTAAGAATTTTCTTAATCTTTAAGTTCTGCTTCCTTTTGAATTAAAATTCTATCTGGTGCCATCCCCTGATCTCAGCGGCAGGGGCTGACAAACTTGAATCCAGAGGGTGAACTAGAGGAGGTGGGGGGCATCTTCCCTCCTGCCCTGGTGAGGAGTTGCAGCAAGCTCCCCGCGCCTCTCCTCCCTGATCCACCGGCCACCGCAGCCCATGTGATCCAGGGAAGTTGGGGTGCCCCCTCACCCCGCACCTGGGTGGCCTGGACGCGGGGTCCCCTCAGCCCCTCAGGGTTCCAGCGCCACTTGTGTAGGTCCATCTGCAGTGGGCCACGTGTGCACATCGGGCAGGGGGACCACACCAGCATCTAGTTTTCAGTGGAAACTTATTGAGTAAGGAAGAGCTAAAGGTAAGTGAGAAAGGGTGATTAGTTAGCCAGGGCCACCATAACAAGATACCACAGGCTGGGTGGCTTAAACTTAAACTTATTTTCTCAGAGTCTGGAAGTCCAAGATCAAGTTGCCAGCAAGGTAGGTTCCATTCTGAGGCCTCTCTCGCTGGCCTGGAGATGACTGCCTTCTCACTGTGTCCTCACAGGGCCTCTGTGCATTTGCTCTCCTGGTGTCTCTTCCTCTTCTTATAAGGACACCAGTCCTTATAAGGGGCCTTAGGGCCCCACCTGGATAACCTCGTTTCACCTTAATTACCTATTTAAAGGCCCTGTCTCCAAAGCATTCACATTAGGTGTTAAGGTTTCAACATAGGAATTTCGAGTTGTGGGGAGGGATAAAATTCAGTCCTTAACAGAGGTATAGCTCCTGGAATAATTAAACTTGCAAACAATAGCAATGGCACTTTAGGGCAGGAGCATGACCCTAAGCCATGGTTTCTCAACCTGGCACCATTGCCATTTAGGGCTGAATAATTCTTTGTGCTGGGGGCTGTCCTACGCATTCCAAGATGTTTAGCAACATCCAACATCCCTGGGCTACACCCACCAGATATCAATAGTGCTCCCCTCTCCTAGTGTGAGAACAAAAATGTTTACAGACATTGGCAAATATCCCCTGTGAGGCAAAATCACTCCTGGTGGATATTGCTGTAAGCATAGGGTTTCTCTCTTTCATCAGGGACAAAGTGTAGAAGGACAGATTTCCTCCACAGAAGCTTCATAAGTTTAAATAGGCCATAAATATCCTTGAGCTCTCTTAGCAGTCCTTCAAGTTTCTGTCACCCTTGTGTGTGTGTGAGTAGATTATATATATATATGTACATGTTTTGAGAATTTACACATTTCACTTTTGGGACTAACAGGTTCCCATAGGTTTGTTAGCCTTGGTATGAGAGAGTCTGCTTTTCTACTTATGTTAAACTTACCATCTTCAAAGTTTAAAAGACTCTCCCTGTTGTGTATTTCAGGATTTGGTGAACAAGATTAATGTAGTCTGACTTTTTCCAAGATTATAGACTTGCACCATATATGCTGTCTACAGTGGACATCTTTTATTCCTCTCATAGTGACCACCCCATTCCCTAAATTGTTTCCGTTGTTTCTAAAGTTTTGTCATCTCCCTATGTCTTCTCCAAAACTCAGGACCAGTGGTGGAAGGCACTGTAGGAGCAGTGGGCACACTCCCAGGGGCTGAGCCTGGATGGATAGGGTCAGGAAGGAGGATGGACTTGGAAGGTCACACCAGAGGCACCAGATGATGTGACAGATGAAAAGGCACATTAAAAAGTAATACGTACGTTACAAATGCAACTCCTTTTGTGATAATTATTGTATCGAATTGGGCATTTCTGAGCTTACCCTGTTGTTCTCCAAAGCAGTTGGCTAAGGCTGTTCTTATTTTTTCTTTAACCTTCCTGCCACCCTCAGATCGAATTTATTTGCTACACTAGTGCCAGGTTAATAATCCTAGAACACAACCATGATCATCTCACTTCCTCCTCAAAAACCATCACTGTCTCTCCACTGCCTGCAAAGTCCCACATCCTGAGCCTGGCATTGCAGTTGTCTACAGTCTTTCCTCAGCCTGACCTCCCTCTGTGTCCTTACAAACACGCTGTGCTCCAGAAAGACTGGACTTTGACATGACATATAAAAAATGTTTTCACATTTTCCCCTTCAAACCATTTATGGTGCTAGTATGATTCCCTCCTCAATCCCAGAGCTCTCTATTTTGAGGCAGAAAACAAGAGGCCCAGAATCAATTAGCATCAGTTTCCTGCCTTCACTTTCCTATGGCACTAAGTCAAGTCAGATTGGCAAAGCCTTTATAGCTGGTCCCAGCCTGACTCTCTGCCCAAACCTACTTACTAAATCCTCTGGAAATGAGGGCAGTCCCACTCCGGGTTGGCCTCATGAAGACATCTCAGTCCCATCAAACCTCCCCTTGGCTTTGAGACTAATCCACGCTGGCCGTGTATACAGTTTTTCTCTAGAATCCGTGTGTGTTTATCCCCTGAAGTTCTATCATGTCCTTGGATTATCACCACACCATTGATGCTGCTTCTGTCTCAAAGGACACTTTGGACTCTGCCTGTCCTTGCCATCGCCTGTCTGGGCAGTAGTCTGCTTAACTCTAAGCCCCAAAGTCCTCCCTTCCCTCCTTGACTAAGTTTCTCAGATTTGTACAGTTTGGTGGCAACAATGCTTCCTACTCAGTTGCTAAGACAGGAGTGACCCTTTGGTGTGGTCTCTGAGATTCTCTAGGGACCTCACAGCCTGGATGGCCTCCTGGGAGCTTGCCTGGCCTTACACTGAGCTGCAAACCATGAGAGGAAAGCTATTTAGCCCCTCCAATTAAAGAGATTGCCTCTAAGTCCCCTACAGAGTTCCTCTTTCCTTGTGTCTGAGGGTCTCCTCTGGGTCATGTGTCTTTTGCAGAAGACTAGCAGTGAATTGCCATGGGATTGATAACAGAGCCCTCTGGGCTCAGTGGCCAGCTCTGTCCTTTTCCTTGGCCTCTCTCTGATTATTTACAAACATATGACTTTCTAGCCCAGTCAGGGAGATTGTCTTTTGGAATGAGAGCTATATAAACAAAAAAGATTAAGAACTTAGTAATGGAGTTAATTTTCACCAAGAACAGAGGCAATCCATTTCCTCATGAAACTTTCCAGAGAGCAGGAGATGCAACTCTCTGAGAAAGGAAGGAAATAGTTCCAGGGAGGGGCTGCTGTTTTCTGGGCCACTTTGCATGAGACGGGAAAGTGAAAGCAGAACCGACGCAACCTCATGGAAGGCTATTTCTGCTGTAAGCACCTACTTCTCCATAGAGAACACTCTCCATGCCCTCGTGTGCCAATGGGCAGTGTGAACTAAGAGTGTTCATTTGTGTCCGGCAGAATATTTCTCAAGAAGGGTCTGGTAGCCGGGCAAGCCACATAGTTGGAGACACTGTTTGAGTGGAAGTAGACCAGTTTTTTCTAGTTGCTTGTTTTCATCAAGCAAGAACCACATATAGGTAAAAAGCAATTTTAAAAACTGATTTTTGGTTTTGAGAAAAGTCAAACGTGTAAAACATTTGTGATTGCATAATAAAGCTGCATGTCTAAGAATATAAATATTTTATAATAGATTAGCTATTACACAAAAACATTGAAATATCTTTTAATTTTTCATTTTGATCAGATGAAGAGAGCCAAAGAAGGAAAGTGAGTGTACAGAAATGGAAAAAGAAGTGGATTAATGTAGAGAAAGAAGAGATATCTAGAAGAATAAAATTGTGGCCCTGAGGAGAGAGGAGGTGGAATGGTTAGATTTTGCTCTCCATTAATAGAAGACCAGGTTGCTGTATTCAAAAGGTCTGAGAAGAAGAAAAGATGTGACAGCTACTAAGCACCTAGTAGATGCCAAGGATTGTTCTTTGCTATGTTAGGTATAATTAGATGACTAAGAATTGAAGCTATACAAATGAATGTTTGATCAAGGAGACATTGTTAGCTGGGGACAGATCCCTAGAGGCACTCTGCATTTAGAGATTCCCAGAGGAGCAGAAGCCCCAGAATGAATGATCTGAATGGTGTCAGGAAAATCAGAGGAGTGTGATGTCTTGAAATCTGAATAAGGAGAGATTTCAAGAAAGTGGAATGATCTACTGTGATGAAAGCAGCAGAAAACTCCACAAAGATAAAGATTTGGTGACCTTGGCAATCAATTTCTGTCCCACTGAGGTCATGGACAAGGAAGTCAGACTGCAGTGGGGCTGAGAATGAGTGGGAGGGGAGAAAGAGGAAACACAGAAGTGTAACATTTTCTTTAAGGAACATGGGAAGAGTAAAGAAGAAAGATGAGGGTGGAAGCTAGGGAGATGAGAAGAGCATTAGGGACAAGGAAGATTTGAGCCTAAATTCTAAACTGAAGGGAAGGATCTGGCAGCAGGGGGCTGATTAGAGTTAACAGAGAGATAGAAGGGAGGACAGCTGAGACAAGCTCCCAGTGGAGGCAGGAGTGAAGGTCTCGAGCGCATAACTGGAGGTCAGGGTTAGCCTGGAGCAGGAAGAGCCCCAGCCTCTGAGACTTCAGGAAGAAGAAGAAAGAGAAACCAGGGTCTCCAAATGGTCAGAATGTCGCTGATGAAGGGTGTGCCTGACCAATTTTCTTGATGAAGTAAGAGCCAAGGAATTCCTGCTGCTATGTAGAACTGAATGTGGAGTGAGAGGAGAGTGAGAAGGTTTGGAACTTTCACAAGGAGACTCGGGTAATTAATTAATTGATCAGTCAATCAATTAAATGGTTTGCTGCCTCTTTTCTCTTTCTATCAATTCAAGTCAATCCTGCTTTCACCGGGCTCCAAGGCAAAAACTGTGCCTGCTTGCCATTAATCATAGATAAGGCACAACCCTATTACTTAGCAGGACATCTGCGGCTTTCACAATTTGACACCAGCCTGTTTCCTAAGCCTCGTCTCCTCCGGCTCCTCGTTTACTTGGCCATGCAGCAGTCCCCTGCCCACCATATACTTTGAGGCCTCTGTGCCTTTGCCCAGGCCATCTTCTCTCCTTGCAAGGCTCTCATCCTCTTCTCCGCATCAGTAGACTTGTATTTATCCTCCAAGGCACAGTTCAAACGTCATCTTCTCTCTAGCTTCTCCTACCTAGGGCAGAATTAAGAATTCCCTTTTGTGTATTACACAACAATTTATTTATTGTTGTTATAGCAAACATGGGAAATTGCTATTTCAAATACATAGTGTCAGAAGCTGCTTTCATATTCTGGAGATGTAATTAATCTCAAGGAGGAAATTGACTTTTGATTTAGAAAAACACGTTAATGCGCCATTTCATTATAAATGAAATACCCAAAGCTTGTATAGACAGAAGTTACATGTTTCTGTGAAGCATATGGAGATATATGTTATTATAAAAACATTAATTTACTAGAGGTCTTAATGTTTTCCTTTTGCACTTCTTTAGATGTGACCTTATGCCTATTCACCCAGGGGAAAATTTGGATTTTTATCACAGAAGACCAAAAGCAAACAATATTCCAAAACAGAATATTGACAGCTATATCAAAGTCATAGTCTTAAAAATTAGACATTGGTAAGAGAAAAGGGAGTTTCTAAATTTACAAAAGTCTAGGTCCTTAGAGCTCTCTGCTGGGGATTCATTCTAGACTGAGATCACCTCTTTTGGGAGGTGGGCACTCACTGGCCACTTCTGTGTTCCTGAGATCTTAGAAACACCAGAACCCTCTCCTCTCAACCCTCTGCTACCTCCACATGGCACTAGAGCCCACAGGATCTACCTTGGATCTACAGCTTGGATCTACCCACACACATTCTAGAGTCTCACGGGATCTTCTAGGGATATCCCTGGTCTGATAAAGAGACACTGCCTGTGGATATTTTCCTTTGCTATCCCAATTGCACTCTCTGTTTTTGTGAGGACACTTGGGAAGATGAAAAACACTCTGTCACCATTGTCATCTTCTCCCTGTATCACCAACATCTGACAAATCGAATATTACTTATAAGCTACTATGAAAACAAAAGGAAAGGCAAATTAACCAACATTTTCAGAAGTCTTCAAAAGTTGTAAAAACCATTAAATTCAATATAAAAGGACAAAACTTTAAAGTCAAGTTTTTGGCAAATTGATAAAATTGGGGAATTGATGATTTGATGTATTAATTTCTGATTAGTTGATGGGTTGATTTTAGTGAGTTGACGTGCAGTAAATTGGTGTTCAGGATGGTCATGGAGAGGCTTGAACTGGCCTGGAGCCAGGGGCCACAGCCCAGAACACACGGGCCCAGGATCAGGCTGCAGCCTCGCCAAACTGGAAGGATGTGAGTAGTAGCAGAGCCACGCTGGGGCCACCAGCAGGCAAGGTGGCTGAGCCCCACTGCCTTCGTCAGGGATAATCGATCGCAGATTAGACCAGCCACGGAAATGTTGGCGAGCGATGGGGACAGGCCAAGGAACTGGGGGCAGAGAACCATCAGAAAAGAGAAAAAATGCCACCTAGACCCAGCTTCCCACAGCCAGCACGCTCTGTAAGTTCATCCTCTGCCCCAGGATGTCATTCCCAAAAGGGGGAGGGAGAGGGGGAAGAGAAGAAACCGTGAAAGATTGTGCCTTTCCCAGAAGACATTTGAAGTTTTTCAAAAATACCTCTTTTAAACAGGAAGGGCTGTATCTATGCCTTTCGATGGCCAATTTTGGGGTTTTCCTACCATCATTTGGAATTGTTGCTCCAGAGTGTAATGAGACCAGTTATATATTTTTAAAGTTACTTTTTTTGATGTATAAATTTCAAACTATCTGCAGATATAAAGGAAGAGTGATTTTAGCTTAGAATTTCCCAGGAGACAGAGGTTGGAACTCTGGCATTTAGAGAAGTCAGGAGACGGGAGGGGAAAGTTCTAAGGGAAGTGAGCAGTTCCCAGCCAAAGGGCAGAAGTCCAGAGTTTGAAAAGTGATGGCCAGCAAGAAATCTGCTGTGCTGGGGAGCTGCCCCCAAATGACCACAACAGTCTGCCCAGGGCAGGAGGCTGGTGCAGGAGATGCCATCAACTCCATACGTAAGCACACATTTGCATCACTTCTCTGTCCAGGAATTATCAGACATTCTGGTGACAGCAGTGAGCCATTTGAATTCCTGCAATTAGACAGGCACTTGAAACTGCTTAATTACTAGGGAAAGGATTGCCCCAGAAAGTTGCAGGCCACATGAACATTTATATTGCACATTAATAGACCTTCTCCTTTTTCCACCACGTATTTAGTTCTGTGTACAGACTTCCAAGACAGCCATTCTTGTTGGCAGGAACCATAATTGTGGTCCCAAAGCCTAGCACGGCACTTAAAGCAAAATAGATTAAAACAGAGCGATGCACCAGCAAACAGTCAGATCTAAGGTCCAGAATGGAAAAATTCAATGGTAAGGTCGCCCTCTGGTGGAATATCTAGGTAGTAACAGGAAAGGACTTGAAGACTCTGGCAAGCTGGCTACTTAAATGTAAAAATCTCAGAAAAGGAGCCAGTGGCCAACTGGTAGCCAACCAAGAGCACCCAGAGCAGCGCTGTCCAGTAGAAATATAATGGGAGCCTCTTAATTCAATTTCAAATTTTCTAGTAGCTACATTTAAAAAGCAATAAGAAACAGGTGAGATTAATCTAATACATATTTTAAACCGCAAATATACAAAAAATTGCAAACTGAACATTAATTAATATAGAAATTACTGAGATTATGTATATACATTTAATTAAGTCTTCAAATCCCAGGGCATTTTATACTTAGAGTTTTTTTTGGCTTAATAGCTACAGGTGGCTTGTGGCTACTGCACAGGACAGCACAGTCCTTGAGGAAGGGGATCATGTCCTGCTCTTCTGTGCTCCCAGAGCAGCACACAGTGCCTAAGTCACATCAGGTGTCCTATAAACATGTATTTAATGAAGAATATCCCCCAACACCTACCTGAACTTGTCATGCTCCAAAGAACATGACAGATACAACTTTACCTCAAAGTCAGCATTTTAGACAATTTAGAACAACTGGATTTGTGTCATTTTTAAAGGACACTTTAGTAAGTTTTTGTCGAATCTGTGTTTGCCTCATTATTAGACTCTAGTCCCAATAACAGTACCTCTCCCTAGAGTCAGGGTTATCCACTTTATTCACTTTTATTTGTTATCATTGACTTATTTATTTAATAACGTGCTAGCGTTTAGGGGGAAAAGGAAGATTGTGTAACAAAGATTCAATCATCCATGATCCCTTCTTACAGGCCCTTTCCATCTAGGAGGGAATGTGGACCATACATATACATTCCAAGAAAACAAATAATGAGGAAGCCCTGGTGAGACTGAAAGGTGTTCTGAACTGGGTTGCTTGCTGGCTGTGGCTATGAGAAGGTTCCTGGAACCTTCTGCTCTTGCCTCCCCGGTGTTGGCCTTGAGCAATCACTGCCTGCTCCCTGCTGCAAAAAACGATGGCAAGATCCTGATTGCCTGTCCAGCTGTTGAGGGGTGGGTGAGAAAATCCAAGCTGAAATCCTGCTGGAGTGGGAGGAGCTGGGGACTGCCCTAGTCATTGCCTCCTCTGCCACCCCAGCTATCAGTGCTCCCTACGCCTCCTAGTGCTCCCACCCTGAAGTCCTGACCTGAAGTGACACCCAAAGGGTAGTGACTATGGTTTTGCGCTGGCCTAGGACTCCAGCTGGCCCTCCTTTCTCTTTACACACATGACACCAACACAGATGGCCACTAGTGGGTCAAAATAATACCTTTAGGGAGTGCCGACACCTCAAAAGAAAAACAGCAAACAGGACCATCTATGTCCTTGAAAGAAGTGGTAGAAAATATAGACCAGCCGCTTAAAATGAGCATTAAAAGTGCACTTTAAAAGTCAGAAGCTATTATAATATGAAAAAATAGAGAATATAGGGAAAACACCTAGAAGTTCTAGGTGTAAAAAATATATATAATAGTCAAAGTAAAAGCCACATTAATGGGATAAATAGTGGGAGAGATGCAACTGAAAAACAAAACAGAAAGATGGAGGACTACACTGAGGAGCTAGTTCAGAACAAAAGAGGGAAGAATTGAGAAGTCATCAATAGAAAAGTCAGGGGAAAAGGAGGAGAGAATTATCCAAATATAGATTATATGAGTTTCACAAAGACAAAAAATAGAGGAGAAAAATAGTTAAAGAAATAAAAAGATGAATTCCCAGAATTAAAAGATAGAGAAGATCCATAATGTCTTACAGAGAGAAGGAAAAACCCACTCTAGACACACTAGCAAAATTTAAAAATATCAAAGACAATGAGAAAATTCTAGAAGATTCCAGCATGAAAGACTGACATGGGATTTTCTAACTGTGACATTGGATGCAAAAAAAAAAATTTGGAATGATGTTATTTAGAATATTAAAGGGGAAAATACTTCAAATAGTATGTAATACACAGCTAAACTTTATTCAAAAGTGCTGGTATAATTTTAAAAAATTATCAAGCATACAAGACTTTAGAAGGTTTGCTATGCAAATTCCCACATCTGAAAGTTTTTGGAAGAAGAATTCTAATCAGAGAACGCATTCTAGAAGGTGCCAAAAGATATGAAAAGTAATGTTGACCAAATAATTTGGTGAAGGAGAAAATATGTGAATAAATTTGAAAGCATGCTAAAGTTCTTATCCAGTCAGAGGGAAGATGGAGAAGGTATCGGTAACACTTAAAAAAAAAAAAAGGCAATGAAGATTAAAAAAGAAAACTTGGCCGGGTGTGATGGCTCACGCCTGTAATCCTAGCAGTTTGTGAGGCCGAGCCAGGCAGATTGCCTGAGCTCAGGAGGATAAGCCTGGGCAACACGGTGAAACCCCGTCTCTACTAAAATACAAAAAAAAAAAAAAAATAGCCAAGCATGGTGGCATGCACCTGTAGTCCCAGCCACTCGGGAAGCTGAGGCAGGAGAATCGCTTGAACCCGGGAAGCAGAGGTTGCAGTGAGCCAGCCCAGATCATGCCACTACACTCCAGCCTGGCAACAGAGCGAGACTCCGTCTCAAAAACAAACAAACAAACAAACAAAAAAACTTTAAAAAATAGAAATATTGAAATAAATAAGGTATTACAAACAAGCCCAAGTGCATCAATATTCACAATAAACACAATCAGAATGCAGCAAAGACAGTGCCATGTGCTCACCAAACCATTATATCTTCCTGCACACATAGGTAACGTACATTTTTCCATCCCCGTGCGCCTATGTGGGGTCATTGTTTACTTCTTGCCAATGGAATGTGAGCAGAGATGGCAAATAGTTTCTGGTCCAAAACCATGGAAACAATGTGCCTTTCCCAGGTTCTCTCTCCTACCTGCAAAGCTAGGAGTTCATGAAGTGCTTTTCAATAATAGAGATGCAAAGTGGAGCTTAGCCACCTTGAGGCATGTTTTGGAAAAGAGCTACAGAGTGCCCAACCTGCCTTGAACTACACGTGGCTAAAAAATAAACCTGTGTTTTGTTAAACCACTGAGGCTTCAGTGTTTGTCTCTTGCAGAAACAAGTTTGCTCACTTTGACTACCATATGAATTGAACATAGGTTAGAAGACAGAGATCGTCAGATTGAATCAGAAGCAAAAATCTATATTTATGACATTTCAAGGGCTACATCTAAAGCATAAGTACAAAGGAAGAGTAAAAACAAAAGAGTAGAAAAAGATACAGTGAACAAATACCCAAAGACAGCTGTAGAACTTATTACTATCAGACAAGACAGAGTAGGACAGAAAGATTCTCAGGACAAATTGGGAAAAGGCTCAGTTCACCAAGACTGTAATAATTCCCAAGAGTAAACACCTTAATAACCTAAATGCAGAGAGGGCAAAAGTTGATTTAAAAATTAGAAACAAGTTGAAAAACCTACAGTCACAGTTAGAGATTTAAATATACCATTCATAGGCCAGGAATTGTGGGGCATGCCTATAGTCCCAGCTACTCTGGGAGGCTGAGGCAGGAGGATCGCTTAAGCCCAGCTGTTTGAGGCTGCAGCGAGCCATGATTACTTCACTGCCCTCCAGCCTGAGCAACAGAGCAAGGCCCTGTCTCTAAAAAATAAATAAATAAATGCACCACTCTTAGTTATGTATAGGCCAGTCCAAAGATAAAGAAAACCGTAATAAATTAGAATGACAAAATCCACATGCTTGATCCAATAAACATGTACATGTATAAAATTCTGCATCACATTTATTAGAGCCCATGTGAAATATTTACAGAAGTTCACCACACTCCAAGCCATAGAGGATTATCATGTAATTAAATTATAAGTTAATAACAAAAAACATACTTTAAAAAATCTATGTATGTTTTCAAATAAAAAAAACACCCGATACTCGACTGTTATTAACCAAAGAAGCAACATTCTTTATCATGAGTTTTTCATGGCTTTCCCGTCTTTCATCTCATGGCTCCAGCTCCCACCTCACTTGGGGGGAGGTGAAGGTGGCAAGGGTCCTAACCAGGGCAGGACCAAAGCAGTGAAGACACTGTTCATTCATGCGCAGGTGTCTCCTAGGCGCCTATGATGTGCTAGGCATTACGTAGACACTGTGGACTAGAAACGAAAAAACTAAGATTAGGGCTCCCCATAAACCGGGCCATGCAAATCAATTACTAGCTGTCATTTGATTAATTTGAAGTCAGAAGCTGTGTCTGCCCCACTTAAAATAGGCATCCCTTATTCATTGAGGAAAGAGCATTGGAGCAGGTTTTACCAGTCCACAGACTACCCGAGAACCACCTGGGGAGCATGCTGAAAACACAGGTTCCCTGGCCCTGCCTTGGAAAGGCTAATCTAACCCATTAAGTAAAGAGGAAACTCAGGAACACGTATTATAACGAACCCCCCAGGTGATTCTCATTTGGAACCAGAGACCCGCATGATTTCCTAGCTCCCTCCAAGTTGAAAATCATCGATTTCATGGTCTTTGACACATGGCCTAATTTGGTTAGATTTCTCTTTACACAGACGTTAGCTTTACGTTGTTGTTGTTTTGTTTTGTTTTGTTTTTTAAATATATATACTGGACTAAATTCTCCCAGTGCCTCTTATTAGCCGAGCCCAACCAGAAGCCAAAGGCAAGGGTGATGCCGTCCTCCAGCCTGTGTCAGCCTGGAGGAGGTGCCCGGGTCCTGGAGGGACCAACAGAGAGGACCAGCACCTCTGCCCTCCTCGGGGAGTCCACGGGAGCTCTTTACACTTTGCTTTAGACCAAACAACTCCAACAATTACACATTTTTTCTTACACAATGAAATTAAATAATAATAAAAGAAAAATAAAATAACATTTTTGAAAGTGATTTAAAGTTTTAAGAGGTTTTTATTCCATTGTGTAGCCAATGTTTTCCTTTTAAAGATTATTGGTAAAGTTTATTTTACTTTCTAACTCAAAATTTGTCCACGGAAACTTCTTGGGAAAGTAGGATTCCCTGCATCGCAGATGGACATAGAGAGAGGATTTGTTGGAGCTCAGCTGCGCGGTGCTCTGACGGCCTTTTCTCTCTCTTCAGGGGGTCCCTTCTTGGAGGACGTGGTAATAGTTGGTCCAAGCCCCTCCCATCCTCCAAAACTTCCTCTGGCCTCTCCTGGGGGCCCAGTGAATCCTTCCACCTTCTCACCCCGGCTCTTTCCCTCTTTACCCAGCAACAGATACATTCACTCAGAGAATTTCTGTGATTGGCTGAAGACAGCAGGGGTCGCCCCCATCCTCGAATCTGTTTTCTTCTTCTTTACCTCCGCCTTGTTCCTGTCCTCACCACACGGACTGAGACTGATTTGATTAAAGCACCAGAGTGTAATGGCCCTCAGAGCAGGGCTGGTCCTGGGGTTCCACACCCTGATGACCCTCCTGAGCCCGCAGGAGGCAGGGGCCACCAAGGGTGAGTGCGAGGGCGAGGAGGGTGCGGCGGGGAGCAGAGATTTACGGAGTTGGGTTACATGAGGAGGTGGCATGGAGGATGCTTGTTCCTCTCGCTCTCTGGTTTATGGGCAACTTCCTTCACCAAGAGACACCCAATCCCCCTCATCTCTGTCACATCCACTCTGGACCTAAATGAAGATGCAGCTCGGTCAGCTGCGCAGGTGCCCCAGTCAGCCTTTGCTGACGTTCAGATTTCTCCTCATTCCTTCCTCCTTCCTGAGACCCAAACCTCCACCCAACAGATGCCAGCAAGCACCCTGATTTCTCTACCACCCCTGGCCGGGAATGTGCCCGATCAAGTCCAGTTCTGTTGCAGTATTTATGCCCATGCCGGTAGTTAACTATTTACCTGTCTTTGTTCTTCGGGAGACATGAGCTGGGGTGCGGGTCTACAGATGGTTCATCTTTTTTTTCTTTTATTTCCCTGGCCCCCCATTGTGCTGGGTGCATGCTAGTTCCTCAATAACTGTTGCTCAAACAACTTCATAGAGTTCTACAAGAATTAAAACTTAATCCCTAACTTCCAGAAAACTAGACAACAGTTATGGAAGAGCCACACTCAGTCATAATGCTCTGAGATGGAGGAATTGGGACATGAACCTTGACTTCTGACTCCTCGTCCAGTGCTCTTTGTAATGCCTTGAGTTGCCTCTCCCTATCCCCTTGGTCTCTGGGTCACTAACCTTAATTCTTACCCCTGCCAGCCGTGGCCTGTTTCCCCTCACACCCACCTGCACTGCATCTCTGTGCAAAGCTCCATACTCTCCTGTCCTTAATCATTCCTCCTCATCCCACCCCCACAGTCCCACCAGCTCACAACACAGGGCCTGACAACACAGCCAGGGCAGATGACCACAGCCAAGATTTAAATTCTGGAACCCCAAGCATGATTTTAGGCAGTCCCTCCTCTTCCCATCCTGATATGCCAGACTGCACTGTCTCTGTGCCGACTGCAGTGTGCTGGGATGAGCCTCTTTCTTCCTGTTCTCTCTCCCTTTCTCTCTCCCAGGGCCAGCCCAGTGTCAGAACAGGACTCTGTCCCCACACAGAACCCAGGACGGGGCCCAGGCTCAGGGACTCAACAATCACATATTGTGGATGAGACAGACACATTTTTTTCTCTCTCCTTGACCCTGAACTCGCCAAACACAGCTGACCACATGGGCTCCTACGGACCCGCCTTCTACCAGTCTTACGGCGCCTCGGGCCAGTTCACCCATGAATTTGATGAGGAACAGCTGTTCTCTGTGGACCTGAAGAAAAGCGAGGCCGTGTGGCGTCTGCCTGAGTTTGGTGACTTTGCCCGCTTTGACCCGCAGGGCGGGCTGGCCGGCATCGCCGCAATCAAAGCCCATCTGGACATCCTGGTGGAGCGCTCCAACCGCAGCAGAGCCATCAACGGTACCGGCCCTCCCTCTGCCCACCCAGTCAGGCGGGAAGGTCCAGAGAAACTTCCTCCCAGTTCCTAGGCTCCCATCACTCTGGGGCGCGCTCTCAGCGCCCGCGCCTGTCATGCCCTGTTCCTTTCTTTCCCAGGAGGCTCCAGGTCTTCCCAGACCCCTTTGGCACCCCTCTCCTTGAGGAATGACACCTCTCACCCGGACTCCCGCCCAGGGACCAGTCAAATATAGGAGCTCCTGGCGTCCCCACTCCCTCCCCAGTCTCCTCTCCCTCTGTTTTCCTCCTCTCCTGCCCCAGTGGATACCCCAGAGCATCCCCTGCCCACAGATGGCTACAAAGGGGGAACGTCCCTTAATCCCAGTCCTAGTAAGGCCCTGGGGTGAGGGATGAGCCTGTGGACTCAGGGCCTGTTCCTCCTAGTGCCTCCACGGGTGACCGTGCTCCCCAAGTCTCGGGTGGAGCTGGGCCAGCCCAACATCCTCATCTGCATCGTGGACAACATCTTCCCCCCTGTGATCAATATCACCTGGCTGCGCAACGGCCAAACTGTCACTGAGGGAGTGGCCCAGACCAGCTTCTATTCCCAGCCTGACCATTTGTTCCGCAAGTTCCACTACCTGCCCTTCGTGCCCTCAGCCGAGGACGTCTATGACTGCCAGGTGGAGCACTGGGGCCTGGATGCGCCACTCCTCAGGCATTGGGGTACGGAGCCCCCTCCCCATGCACCCTCCTGGCCCCAGGTTTCCTTTACTCTAGAATCCTTTCATATACCACCAACTCCTTCCTTTCTCTCCTAGAGCTCCAGGTGCCTATTCCACCACCAGATGCCATGGAGACCCTGGTCTGTGCCCTGGGCCTGGCCATCGGCCTGGTGGGCTTCCTCGTGGGCACCGTCCTCATCATCATGGGCACATATGTGTCCAGTGTCCCCAGGTGCAGAGGCCCCGGGAGTCTGGGGGGTGGGGGAGGAAAGTGGATGACTCTGAACAGGACGTGGGTGGAGAATCAGAGATTCTGTTGTGGGGAAAGAAGTCAGAAAAGAAATGGGCAGGGAGAAAAGAAGCAGAGGTGGGGTGAGAGAGTGAGGTTTTGGGGGAGGTGGGCACTCAGAGATAGGATCCCAGCATATTGAAATTGAGCAACCTCGATCGTATGTTTTCTGCTATTTTAGGTAATGATCCTTCTGAGAGAAATGACTTGTGGGAGACACCCTGCAGATCCTCATGGGTTTGTGACAGCCCCTGCGTGCTCAGTGCCCTTTAAGTGCATCCCGCTGTGCTGACTTTGAGTGGGATCAACATCTGTCCTACGGGTCCCCTCTTTTTTGGCCCCAGTATTCATGGCAGGGTTTGTTGGACACCTACTAGCTTCCCTTCCCATTCAACACACACACACATTCTTGCTCTACCCAAAGCTCTGGCTGGCAGCACTAAATGCTTTGGTGGTGTTTGCACTGTGTCCTTTCCAGGCCTTGGCCAGTTCTTCCAGGGGTGAGGCATGTGGTGCTGGGGATTGGCAGCCATCCTGGGGCCCACACAGGTGTGTCTTGCTCCATTTGGCCCATTGTGTGTTACTTTGTGAATGAGCCATTTCACATGGACTTCATGAAATTTGCCTCCTGAGTTCAGGTTTACCCTGAAAGGGATGCAGATTATCCTGTTCCTCACGACCCCCTCAGCTAACAACAGTTCTGAAGGGTGCTGGGACAGGACAGGCTCATGGGGACTCCACTCCTGCCTGGGTTTACTCTGTATGAAGAGGCCACTGGTATCCTGCCATGATGTTATCTCCTTTTTCTACTTTTCCCTAGAGTCCCATGCATGATAAAGAGAGGCCCAAGGCTTGGATAAGGTGGCCACTTCCCTCAGTGGAGTCAGTCATGTTAGGTAGGAGGTGGTAGAGTCGGTCTGCGAGGTATCTCGTAAGAGGGGAGGTCCACCTAGACACACTCTAAATATGTGGCCTAGAAGATTTTGGTCTACTTTTCTGTGAACAGAATTTAAAACATACAAAGAGATAAATCACCATACCACATAGTTTATGTCAGGACCAAAATGAGCAATACAGATTACGGTTTTCAAACCAGAATGCACATAAGAACTGCTTGGGATCCTTTTAAAAGTACAGGCATTGGCCTGGTGCAGTGGCTCATTCCTGTAATCCCAGCACTTTGGGAGGCCAAGGGGACAGGACTGCTTGAGGCCAAGAGGTGGAAACCATCTTGGGCTACATAGAGAGACCCCATCTCTACAAAGAAAGATTTAAAAATTAACCAGGCATGGTGGCTCGCACCTGTATTCCCAGCCACTGGGGAGGCTGAGGCCGGAGGAGTGCTTGAGCCCAGGAGTTCAAGGCTGCAGTGAGCCAAGATTGCGCCACTGCACTCCAGCCTAGGTGACAGAGTGAGACCCTGTCTCTAAATAAATAAATAAATAAAATATAAAAATAACAGTCATCACCCAGACCTACTGAATTAGAATCTCGGGAGTGCAGGGGGCAGCAACAGGGAGGCTGTCTTTTCTGAGATGGGGTCTCACTCTGTCACCAGGCTGGAGTGCCATGGCATGATCTCAGCTCACTGCAACCTCCACCTCCTGAGTTCAAGCCATTCTCCTGCCTCAGCCTCCTGAGTAGCTGGGACTACAGGTGTGCGCCACTACACTCAGCTAATTTTTGTATTTTAAGTAGAGACGGGGTTTCATCATGTTGGCCAGGATGGCCTCCATCTCTTGACCTCGTGATCCACCCACCTTCCCTCCCAAAGTACTGGAATTACAGGCATTAGCCACTGTGCCCAGCCGAGGCTGTCATTTTTAACCGGCTCTGGATGACTCTGATGCAGCCATCCTGGACCTTGGCTGTGGTCTGGTAACTGGAACCCAGTGACGTAATCAGGTGCCATCGGGGGTCATGGGAAAGGGGGATCCCCAAGGTCTGAGGTGGACTAGGAAGGCTTTCTGAAGAACCTGGGTCTGTTAGGGCATCAGCCAATCAAGGTACAAGTAAATAGAGGCAAAATGAGGGTTTGAACTGTGAGCAGTTGGTCCTGGAAAAGAAAGAAACCAAGAGATTATGGGGACTCAATGGGCTTCTTAAGAGAGAATAAGTTGAAATCAATGACCAGAAGACCCTGATGGAAGTGGAGGAGAATCATCTCAGGCAAACTTTTTGTGTGCCAGTAACAGAAACCCTCTTTGTGTGATCACATGCAAAGTATAGGATATTTGCAATATAGCCATGGGGAGGAGTGCAGGGCCCAAGGGTAGATTTTAGCCAGGCCTCCCAGGAACAGAACTCGGATCCGAAAAGCCCAGAGAAGCTAGAGCTGCCCCTCCAACACTCTCGGATCCACATGGTCTGTGTTCTCTAGACCCCCCTGCATGTTAGCGGTGTTCTCTCTCTGTGGACTGACTGTCCTTCTCAGTGAACATGTCCACCCGACAGCTCCTGAGTTTATATCATCTCAACCCTCACAACCCACAGAGGCTGTGTCTCCTAGTCACAGCTTTAAATTACTGGAAAAATAAATGACTGGCCAAACTTGGAGCAGGTGTCCATCCCAGCCCTGTGTAGTTAGAGCAGGAATCAAGATCTCAACACAAATGTGGCTGCCAAGCACTCAGCCCCGGGGCGAGGGGTCAAGTTCTTCTCAGAGAAAGAGGAATAAGTTGGTTCTCAGAAGACATCACAAGATACGTGTGTACCCAACAATCTCTGATCTCTGCTGATCTTTTGCTTAGACGTTAACTTGATGCATCATTGGAAAGGTGTTTCTCTCATCTCTGTCCTAAGGCTTGATAAAGTCATTAAAATTGTGTTCTTTTGACTAAAGAAATATGCTTTTTTTTTACTGTTGCATATACTACCCTGAAGTCACTGGAACTTCTAGGAGTAATTCCAGAGCTTTTAGATTTATGCACCTGCGTGTATACTCACATTTGTTTCTAGTCTCAAGGTACGTAGTCTTTTATTTTAAAAAACAAGTTGTCCTCCTGCATTCTTGATCTTTCACTCTCTTTTAGAACAGACATCCAGTAGTCTCCTGTCCTTTGTATCCAAACTCTCCCTTTTTGCAGGGTCACCCTACAAATCATAAGCATGTCATCTCTCCTATATAACAAGAACATCAAATCCTCTGTCTGTCCTTGACCCAGTCTCCCTTCCACCCAAGCTCCTGGTCACGCTCTCTGAGAGTGTCTACGTGGACTGCCTCCAGATCCCCTCTTCCCATCCACTCTCTTTCGGTTTTAATTTTTAACCAAATTATGTTATAGTTTAAAGAGTCAAATATTTCTACAATATTTGCTACAGAAATACCAGTTTCCAGCCCCATCTCCCACCATATCCTCACCCTTACAGAAAATAACTTTCAATTGTTCTAATATGTTTTGTTGGTATTAACCTCCCATCTCTAAATAACATGTTTGTGTTGCTACATCTAGATTTTTCAGCTTTAGGCTTTATCTCTTTACCTCCTGCTGTGGAAGAGGGGGATTTAGATTTTTTTCATCCTCAAAGAACATCATGCCCCCTTTCCCATGCCCTTTCTTTTAATGTGACTATATTGTAATTTTTACAATATAGTAAAAGTTACTGTGTTTACTATGTTTCTATCAATATGACCATGTAATGGCAAACCATAGAGCAAGCCATGCTCACTCTTCCTTTTCTAGACGACTTCGTTTTCTCTGGAGTATATAGTTGTCCTGTTTTCCTTTGTGTGGCTGTATTTGTACTTATTATTAATGAATCACAAAATTCCTCACAGTACAATCAAACACATCAGGTATTCTGTCAATTTTATCACCAGATATAACTCTCCCAGAACCTTCTGTCTGCTCCATTCTTAACTCCTTGCCCTTGATGATACAGCGGTCACTCTGAGATCACTCTTCGCCATCCTCGTCAGGATTTACCTATCCTCCGAGTTGGATCTTCTGCTTCTTGTATCCAGTCATTGCCCTTTTGTGGTCTGCCTTATTTTAATGAGGCACCTCTTCTTTCCACTTCCTGAGAAACAGTGCATATGAGGAAAACTTTTTATGCTTCGTATGTCGGAAAATATATTTATTCTACTCTCACACTTGAATAATAGCTTCCACGGTTATAAAATTCAAGATTGGAAATCATTTCCATCAGAATTTTTAAGGCATTTCTCTATAATCCCTTAGCTTCCTGCGTTATTGTTGATAATCCAAAAGATATTGTGTCATGAAACTTTGTACGTAATCGTTGTTGTTTTTTTCTCTCAGAAGCTTATAGGATATCTGCTTTTTCCCTTCCTCCTTTAAATTCTTATAGGTGCTCCATTACCTACAAGATGAAGACCCTTCTCAAACCGTCCTCAGGGTATTTCTTTTTCTTTTTTTCTTTCCTTTTTTTTTTTTTTTTGAGGTAGAGTCTCACTCTGTTACCCAAGCTGGAGTGCAGTGGTGCAATCTCAGCTCACTGCAACCTCTGTCTCCCAGGTTCAAGCAATTCTCCTGCCTCACCCTCCTGAGTAGCTGGAATTACAGGCACCCCCCACCATGCCCGGCTAATTTTATTATTTTTAGTAGAGACCGGGTTTCACCATGTTGGCCAGGCTGGTCTCGAACTTCTGACCTCAGGTGCTCCGCCTGCCTTGGCCTCCCAAAGTGCTGGGATTACAGGCATGAGCCACCGCACCTGGCCTATTTTAACCATATAATAGCTCCTCCTGAAAATGATCAATGCTTAAGTCACAGAAAACTGTTGTCGCATGTTTACTCCTCCCTGCCTTTGCACAAACTATTCTCTGTGCTGGACCTGCCTTCCTCCACCAACCAGTCAAAATTCTACCTGTCCTTCCAGGGTCCAGATTAAATGTCACCTCTTCTGTGAAGCATTTTCAATCCCAGCCCCCAATATGCTGGCCACCCTGTCCCTGCAGTGCATACCACATTCCGCCCTGTGTCAGTTGACTGTGTATGAATTTGCCTTTGCCACTAACTGCTCCTCTAAAGCAAGAGAAGGCTGTGTCTTATAGTTCCAACACCCAGAACATAATGGGCATTGAAACACTGTAGAATTCTATTTAATTCAATTTTGTTTGCTTCAAATCCAGCCTGGTCCGACTGTCTGCAGCTGGTTTTAATAACATTGGCTACCGTTTACCCAACACATGCAATGTGCCTGGCCTTAATGCTTTTCACGTGTAGTGGATTTGAATCTTGGTCCAAAAGATTAATAAGATAGTGCACAGAGTGCAAAAAATAGTAAATGTCTTTAAATAATCGAAAATCTGATTCAAAACCTGCTCTTTAAAAAATCTTAAATCTGATTCAAAACCCCTGCCATGAGGCTGGTTTTAAGTTCAATCTGTCTTTATTGGGGCTTCTGGTCTCTTACAGTTGTTCCAAGGGTCTGCGCCCTGACACAGTGCTGAGGCCTTGGAGAAGCCCCTGTTGTCTTCTCCAGTCCAGACTGTTTACTCCAAGCATGCCTAGGGCTTAACCTGTATGCTCTTTTCCAAGTGGAAGCTCTGCTGCTTCTGCACTAGGCTTGGGGCAGGGGAATCTTTAGTGAGGAGTGATCCCCAGTGCCTGGGAGCAGGACTGCAAAGATGCACCATACGGCCAACTTCCCCGTCCCTGGGAGGCCTCCCCACCTGCCTTGGCTGCTGCAAGGAAGCAGGGCTCTTTCAGACCCACAGGCCACTGTGCCTTCCTCAGTTTGGGAGAACCTTCCCCCTTTGCCTGTCAAAGGCATTCCCCTCTCTCTCTCTGGCACAATGTCTGGGACACCTGGCATAATGTCAAGTGAGCTTCAGATTTTGGGAAATCCAAAGCCAGAAGAGGAAAGGCCTTGGCGGTGACATGTGCTATTGTCTTGTGTGACAAACCTAAATACAAACAAAGGAAAAAGAAAAGCATCATTCTGCCATACATGAATTATTTCATTTCTTCCTTATGACCAATCTGCAAGTTAAGTATAATGATTTCATTTTATAAAGAAGGAAGCTAGGATTCAAATTACCTAACTTGCCCAAGGTCAAACAGCTAGGAGGTGGTTGGAAGGTCTGTGTGATGCTAGAGCCCATGTTCTTTCCACTGCACTGTCCTACTCAGCAGCGAATGGAGACCAGCTTGTGAGACATGAGGCAGGATGAACAGGGTCAGACATCAGCATTACTAGGAAATGTGTAGGAGGAGGTATTCCCAACTTTGGGAACAAACTTCTTCTGAGGCTTCAGCAGCAACAGGCTGCAGGGAATGAGGTGAGCTTGAAGAATGACTGGGGATGGAATTACTGAAGAGATTTTCTTCTCCCTCCTGGATCAGTCGAAGCACTCCCCCAGTTCAGACTTTCTTTCTTGCTTAGTCTAAATTCCCTCCTGGTCAACAAGACTCTATATGATCTGGCGCTGCATGTGTCTTCATCTTTACTTCCCTCTACTCTTCCTTCTTTCATTAAGCAATAGCCACACTATCTTCCCCAGAATTCTCCTTAACATTAATGCCTCCAATTCATCACCCATTCACAACTCGTGTGGCACCAATTCAGAGAAGCTTCATTGACCAACTTTGCTAAATAAACCACCTATCTCCAATCTCTCCCTATCATGTTACCCTATTTATCTCTACACACAGATGCCTTTCAATGAATGATGTCCCACTTCTCAGGCTTTCCTTTCTCTCTGACTTCAGAAAAGCTTCCAGACAAGTGATCGTGCACGCAGAGGAGCGACTTCACTTCCTCTCCTCTCCTCCTTGTGGTTTAGGAGGTTGCTACCTATGACTTGTAATTTGGCTCCATCTTGTGGTTTGCATCCACCCCACCTGGAGCCTCCAAATCTGAGTAAGCCTAAGGTCTCCCAAGGTGGACTCCCCGGCACTTCCGTCCACTGGAAACGTTCTGCTGCCTCCTCCCTAGAGTCCCAACACCGCTCTTGAGACCTGGTCAGGTTCCCAGTTGCCCTTTATTCCTTTCCTCGGGCCTTCAGTATATGGATCTGCTTCAGGTACAAGTTCTTACTGTAATGCCTGAAACATGGTGGTTACTCAATAAATGTTTAAAGCCCCAGCTGACTAAAACAAAATGTAGTCACCCTGCTCTCAAATTCCCTGATGACATGTCCGCATAAAGAAAAATAAATTAAAATTTGTTTTTCTGATATTAACAAGTATTGTTTTGTTAATACTATTATCTTTCATAATAGTATTGACTATTATTATTGAGCACTTCCAATGTGCCAAACACTAGTCTAACCAACTGATATTTGTCAAATCCAGTATCTCCACATTCACTAAGAAGCACACCAGATATTTCCTAAATTGTTGCATGAAACCGAAGTGTTTAGGAGAGTGTTAATAACCTAACCAAAAACAAATCAATAGAAGTAATATTTTTCTGTTAAAACATATTTTAATACATGTAAGGAAATGCCAAACTTAAATATGTATCTTTTTGTTTTTTGTTTTTTTTGAGACAGAGTCTTGCTCTGTTGCCCAGGCTGGAGTGCAGTGGTGCCATCTCAGCTCACTGCAACCTCCGCCTGCTGGGTTCAAGTGATTCTCCTGCCTCAGCCTACCGAGCAGCTGGGACTACAGGCATTCACCACCGCACCCAGCTAATTTTTGTATTTTTAGTAGAGATAGGGTTTCACCATATTGGCCAGGCTGGTCTCGAACTCCTGACCTTGTGATCCGTCCGCCTTGGCCTCCCAAAGTGAAGTATGTATCTTTATTATATAGTAATCTGCCTTTTAAAAATGATATGTCATTATTTGTAACAATTGAAAATTATTGGAAACATGCCTAGTAAGAGTACAATAGTTGAAAAAATTATAGTACATCTGCACAATGGAGTAATGCAAAGCTGTTAAAAAGAATGAGGAGATAGAAAAAATAAGTTCCAATGTTTGATAGCAGACTGGGGTGACTGTAGTCAGCAACAATATATATATATATATATATATATATATATATATATATATATATATAGTATATTTCAAAGTAGCTAGAAGAGAGGACTTGAGATGTTGCCAACACATAGAAATGATAAATGCTCAAGGTGAAGGATACCCCAAATACCTGACTTGATCATTAGTCTCATTGTATGCATGTAACAGATACTCACATGTACCTCATAAATAAAATATGTAAAATATCATGTATCAATTAAAGGAAAAAGTCTAACGAAAAGGAATGAGAAAGATCTCTTTGAACTAATACGGAGGAATCTCTAGGTTAGAGTGGAAAATTCACAGTGCAATACAATGATTAAACTATGTACTGCCTTTGGGGTAAGAAAGAGGAAAGATACATATTTTTTCAAAAAGGTGGATTGGGTCAGATGTGGTGGCTTGTGCCTATAATCCCCACACTTTGGGAGGATGAAGTGGGAGGATCACTTGAGGTCAGGAATTTAACACCAGCCTGGCCAACATAGCAAGACTCTGTCTCTACATAAAATAAAAAAATTAGCCAGGCATGGTGGTACCCCCTGTAGTCCTAACTACTCAGGACGCTGAAGCAAGAGGATCATTTGAGCCTAGGAGTTCGAGGCTATAGTGAGTTATGATGGTGCCACTGCACTCCAGCTTGGGCAACAGAGTGAGACCATGTCTCCAAAGGGGGAAAAAAGCTGCATTGGAAGGATAAACAAGAAATTAATAAAAATGGCTACTTTTAGGAAGGAAGGGAGAATAGAAGTGAGAAGTGAATATTGACCTTTGAAACGTATAAATAATTTACAATGTTAATAAAAAATTGACAAAAACCTCTAAAATTTAAAACAAATAGAACTGAACCACACAGAAAAAATAAGTATCCCAAGTGATATTAAAAGATACTACTGTATGTTCTTGGTGGAATACACTTACTCTCTCTCTTCTCTCTCTATTTTTTGTTGTTGTTGTTGTTTGTTGTTTGTTGTTTTTTTAGACAGGGTCTTGCTCTGTTGCCAGCCAAGGCTGGAGTGCTGGAGTGCGCTGGTGTGATTATAGCTCAGTGCACCCTCAAATTCCTGGGCTCACGTGATCCTCCCACCTCGGTCTCCCAAGTACAGTAGCTGGGACTTCAGGAACATGCCACCATACCCAGTTAATTAAAATACATGTTTTAAATAGAAATGGGGTCTCATTATGTTGCCCCAGCTGACTTAATAGAATATATTCTAAGGACAAAAAGAACTATCAGAACTTTGAACATCATTCAGTTGTTTTATGGTTAAGTAATATTTGTATCCTTATTTGAAACTATACTATATATAAAATAAAGCAAATCAGTGATTATGTTAATATAATTAAGAACTAAGATTTTTAGGCCGGGGGCAGTGGCTCATCCCTGTAATCCCAACATTTTGGGAGGCCAAGGCGGGCGGATCACAAGGTCAGGCATTCAAGACCAGCCTGGCC
>NT_167247.2:4144041-4278768 GCF_000001405.40 Homo sapiens | reverse complement strand
GGCCAAGTAAGAGGTGGGCTACTGGGACACTGTATAGTGAAACAGAGCATTTTGCTCTTGACTGTAAGTAGGCAATAACATGTCTTTAAAAAGACAATGTACGTACATACCTTAATGAAAAAATATTACTAAAAATGTGACACACAAACATGTTGGAAAAACTGTTGAAAGACTTGCTCCACACAGGGTTGTCACAAATCTTCAACTAAAAAAAAAAGTAGTATCTAAAAAAAACTCCGTAAAGTGAAGCACAATAAAACAAGGTATACCTGTTTAGGTATACTGACATGGGTCTTTCTGCTCCCTTAAACACTACCAAACTACACCATGGGCCAGCTGCAGTGGCTCAGATTTGTAATCCCAGCACTTTGGGAGGCCAAGGCGGGCAGATCACTTGAGGTCAGGAGTTCAAGACCAGCCTGCCCAACATGGCGAAACCCCGTCTCCACTAAAACTACATAAACTAGCTGCGCACTAAAAATACAAAAATTAGCTGGGCGTGGTGGCGCATGCCTGTAATCCTGGCTACTTGGGAGGCTGAGGCAGGAGAATCGCTTGAACCCGAGAAGTGGAGGTTGCAGTAAGCCGAGATCACGCCACTGCACTCCAGCCTGGAGTCTTTAAAAAAAACAAAACAAAAAACAAACTAACAAAAAAAAAAACAAAACACAAAACCACACCAAAAAACCAAAAACTACTACGCCATGAAAAACAAGTCTAGACTCATTGATTTAGAGCAACAGGCAAACTATATGGCCCAGAGAACAAATCTGATCGCCACGTGTCTTTGCAAATAAAGTCTTTTTGGAACACAGCCATCTTCATGTTTCTAGTTTATGGCTACTTTGAGTTCACTGTCAGAGTAGCTGTGAAACACCCTGACTCCCAAAGCCAGGGGTCCCAACCCCCAGACCAGTACCAGTCCGTGGCCTGTTACTGGGCTACGCAGGAGGTGAACAGCCGGCATGTGGGCATCACTGCCTGTCACATCAGCAGAAGCATTAGATTCTCATAGAAGCATGAACCCTACTGTGAAGTGCGCATGGTACATATCCAGGCTGCATGCTCCTTATGGGAATCCAATGGCCCAATGATCTGAGGTGGAACAGTTTCATCCCAAAAACCATCCCCTCAAACCCTGTCTGTGGTAAAATCTGTCTTCCACGAAACTGGTCCCTGGTGCCAAAAAGGTTGGGGACCACTGCTCAAAGCCTATTGTATCTGTTAACTGGCCATTTAGAATTATCTTTGCAAAGAGAGATGGCATCCCCCAGAGAGACAGAAATAGCCAAACTAGTCTCTGCTTCCTACTCTAACTCACTTGGTGCCACTTCCTCCAGAAGGTCCAAAGCCAGAAGGGCCTAAAGCAGCACTGCCACCCCCACTGCCACTTGCTTTCTTGGACTTCTTAGGTTGAGGTGGGCGGGGTGCCCTAGGCCCCTTGTCATCTTCATCGGCCCCAGCTCGGCCTCGATGCTTCTCTGCCTTCCGTTTCTTCTTTTTCTCTTTTTTCTCTCTTTTCCTCTTGGGCTTGGATATTGGACCCTGGGACAGAGCAGCCAGTTGTTCATGTACTGCCCGAAGCTAAAGGAAAAAAAACATGAAGTGGAAAAAGTAAATAAAGATAAAATAACAAGAAGAAAAAATGAGGACAAAGGGCATGAACCTCTTACCCAATAAAAACTTTCAAGAGTGACAAAATACCTGTTCCTGTAGTTCTGCTAAGCGATGAGCCCTTTCTTCCTCTGAGTCTGAGCTTTCACTCTCTTCTTCCTCCTCGTCCTCCTCATCTTCCTCCTCCTCTTCCTCAGAGGAGCTCTCACTGCTACTTTCCTCACTGGAGGACTCTGAAGACGATTTGGCCAAGCCAGGGGGCATGGCAGTAGAGACTGGTAAAGGCCCTGGTTCTAGTGGTTCATCTGGCATCTTGGCATAACGGAACTCAAATACATCCTAGAAAGAGGCACAAACTCAAAACTATGCTGATAAACAGTGCCCTACATACCCAGCCACCAAGTGATATAGCTCCAATTTACAACTGTACAGAACAGTGAGACCCTCACGTTGAGGCTATGCAGCACACATGACAAAATAACTCCCCATACCATTTATTTTTCAAACTCCAACCTTTCCACTCACCTGTAGCTTTCGTGCCATTGCCACAACATCGTGATCTGGGGGATTGTACTTATAGCAGTTGGAGAACATAAGCCGTACATCAGCAGCAAACTCCTGTGCATCCCGGTAATCACGGTTCTCCATCTTCCGCTGCAGAAGGAGGCAGCATCAGAAGCTGCACAGGCAGGAAGACTCACCTTTCCCTGCCAACCCCAGACACCACAAGAAGAGCCCTCTCTTGAGAGCACAGTGGGGATGACCTTAAGGATCTGTGCCCTGGGGTTCAAGTTTGAAGTCAAAGGAATTTGGGTGGGTTGAAGAAATATTTATGTCTAGAAAAAGAAATCATTTCTAAGTGACAGAGAGGTGGCCTATGCCTGTCTTTCCACCCTATAACTTCCTTAACCCAACACTGCCACATTAGTACTTAATTATAGACAGTATTTTTCTCAAGACAAAGAAACCCCACCCTACTGTTTCAAACTCCAAGAAATACAAATTCTCAAAACACCAGACCTTCTGTTCCACTATTATTTTATAAAAGTAAAATGCCAAGAACCAAAGACTGCTGTGTGCCCACATAAGGAGACTTATTGTTTTGCACCTAGGCTCCCATCACTGCCTGAGCATCCCATCTGCCCCATGCAGTGGGTACCTTGACAGTGCTGAGGTCCATGGGGTGCTTAATGATGTCATGGTAGTCATGCAGGCCAAGTGCAGAAGCATCCACTGGTTTATAGAAAGGCCAAGCATAGGCAGCATGCTTCTTAGAGAGTAACTCCTTCAAAATGCCATTGCAATGTTTTAACTGTTCTGAAAGCTTTCCTTTCTTAGAGCTCTGGTGTTGTTGCTGAGAGTCAGGCAAGTCTTTGCGTGGGGGCTTGATGGGGCGACCACTCTCTCTACGCATAGGGGGAAGCCGTGCTGCCTTAGGCTCAAGACTCCCAGGAGGGCTAGCTGGAGAACCAGGAGCCAAGATGGCTGTAGGTGTAGGGGTGGTAGTATCTGCTTTCCGCTTTACGCCTTTTTTCTGCAGAAAGAAACAAGATAGGGAACCTGTCACTCCAAGCCCACTTTACTTAAGACCCTTGCCTCCCTGCTGCCCAGAGGAAATCCACAGATCATACCTTGGCAAGGGGCTGGGCTGGAGGAGCTGCAGTAACAGCAAGGAGCGGGGGTCCAGCAGAGTGCAAGGACTTGAGAAGTGGAGAGGAAATGACTGATGGGTGGGGAATGTTGAGGACAGTGGTAGGTATCTCAGGTGGAGGAGTATAGAGGGCTGTGTGTGACACAGAAGAGACGGCAGGCACCTGATGGGCACTGGTAACACTGCCCTGGAGCGCTAGAAAAAAGGAAAAAAGTGTAGTTTGATTCTCTTCCCCATCTTTAGTTGTCCATTTGCAAAACTCCCACTCTTCCTACCTGCCAACTTGGCCCCCTTCTTGTGGCTGTTCTTAGGGATGGTCACTACCAGCTCTTGTTCTTCTTGTGGCATTGATGCAACCTTCTGTAGGAATATCTTTTCCAGCGTTTGTGCCATTAGGACAATATCATCAGTGGGCTATGAGAACACAGACAGCAATAAAGAAAGTTAAAAAATGCCAACAGAAGATAGATACACACCATCTTTCTCAGAGGCATTCAGGCCCTAGGCCATTACCATACCCCCACCAGTCATCTTGTCATCAAATCTTAAAGAAAATTTCCTACTCCAGGCCACTACTAATTTCCACTTTCTCCTAACTGTCTCCCAAAATTCGAAAGAAGAAAAAACTTGAGAGCTGACAAGAAAACAGATCCCTGGTCTACTCAGGTCTCTGGTGATTTCTAAGAAACAGGACCACCACCCCCAAGTATGAAGTGTTCTAAATAACCTTCAACTAGAGCTCTGAAGTCACATCACTGTGTTCAATAGTACCATCTAGAGTCAGGTTTTTAAGACTCCGACTACCCTACCTGGATAACACCTTCAGTAGCAAAGGATTTAAACTTTATGTAGACAACATATCCAGCAATAATAGAAGTTACTGTTTCTCCCCACCTACTAAATGAACACACAGAAAAACTCACCTTGTTGTAAATGTAACAGTTGGTGAACATGGTATTAAAATCTTGCATACACTCTGAAGCAGCCCAATAATAATTGTTTTCAAGTCTCCTCTTAATAGTACCCATGTCCATAGGCTGTTTTATAATTTTGTGATAATCCTAAATAAAAAAATGTTAGGTCAGAACCACAGAAAAATAAATGCTTATAGGGAGACTACCGATCCCCGACTCTCACACACACACACACACACACACACACACCCCCTATGCATCAAAGGAACAGTTACTTAAACTGCGGCCCCAATTAAACTGTGGGACAAAATAAATAAATAAATAAAAAAGATTCTTGACATCCACAGGGAGGCCCCTGCTGCCTTTCTCTAACCACCCACCTCCCACCCACTCTGGAAACTTCCCATCCTGTGACATTACCTCTGGGGCTGGCTATCCATGGGCTGCATGAGGGAAAGGAAGAAGCTAAGAATTTTGGCCACCGTGGTCCTCTCCCAACCCGAGGTGGGAATCTGTAAAATGGAGCCAGGGCACAAAAGTTAAGGAAGGACACATGGAGGGCACAAGGAAAGATGCCAAGATAGTTACAGCAAGCGGTCGGATCAATCACAAAGGACCAAGATACCCAGAAATCTGGTAGCTAACTGCCCTACAGGGGAGAAATGGGAACTCCCTAGGGGCCGCAGCATCTACACTAGGCAGACCACCCCCATTCACACGCATTCTTGCTCATCCCACACCTCCCCGGCTCCAATGTCTCTACTCACCGGTAGACCCAGTTTGACAGCATCCACAGGCTGCCGGAATGGCCATGCGAACTGATGTTTCCACAGAGCCTTCATCACTACCTTGTGTAGGTATTGCAGCTGGTTGGTAACTCGTCCTGGCTTTTTGGGATTGGACACCTCCGGGGGTGGTGGGTTGGCAGGGGTAAGTTGCAAAGCAGGCACCGAAGCCATTGTGGGGCTCTCAAAGCCCTCATACAAGAGAGAGGGTTTTCGAATCCTCTTCCCTGGTGCTGCTGCTTCTGGGCCCAGCCCCAGCAACCCTGCATTCCCTTCCCCAGGGAGCCTGTAAAGATGGGAACAAAATTAGGGCAATATCGTCCAAATGAGGAAAAAGTGCATCTGCACAATAGTCTGATGAATCCAGGTGCTGGCCCTAGTGAGGTGGTTAAGCTTATGCCAAGTGCTTCTTAAGCAGAAACAATATCCAAACAATCTGTGGAGCTTTTATTGCTGGCCCCGCCTTCCTTTTATTAATATTTTTAGTATACTATCTAGATCCCACCTTCTTAAGTCTGATAGGCTCTATCTGTTCTTTTTCATATTTTAAAAAACTCCCAAATTGTTTCTGACAAGGCACGACATCTCAGAACTACAGCCCTATGGGGATGGGGCTTAAGCAAAATGGGTGGAGTTAAGAAACTCAAACCCCAAGCTTCCTCCTCACTAGGGGTTTGGTGGTTGCCATGGTGGTTGAGCGCCGGTAAGGAGGAAAAGAACAAATTATGGCTATAAAAAATTCCATAAAATGCTGATAAGACACAGAATAATCCACCTAGATAGAAGAGAGAGCACCATCTTCCACAAGGTCTGGGTAGTTCACGCCACAACAGAACATAGACTAGAAACCCAGAGGAAGAACCATATCAACTTAAAAACAAATTCAGACAAGGAAGAATTTGTCAGACTTCACAGCCCGTAACTTCCAGGCCCTCAAAATTATTCGCACCAAATCAGAGTCTCCTCACTCCAAGGAAGTCAAAAAGCCGTACAAAACAGTCAAGGTCACCAAGTGATAGCCCCCTTCCACCCACCCACTACACAACACGATTCCACTACCAGTTCCCCCTGTAGCACCAACTCCGGACACCAAACGCTAACAGTGGTTCATTTACAGTCCCTCTGGTGCTCCTCCGATCAGTCTTTCCTACCACCTAAGAATTAAAACATCATATGGGAATCTCATTGTTTACATCGCAGAGCTGAACTAGGAACCTTAGCTCTACCCTCCTGCCCTGAATCAAACTTTTAATGTTAGGAAAAAACAATCCCTGCACCAACAAACACCACACACAACCCACCCACCCAAAGAAAGCAAAAGATTTAATGACATGCCCTGGGCATTAGGAACCTGCACACACGGGAGAGTGATCCCTTTACCCTTCTCTGGGAATCCCCGTTGCCAGTCCCTTAAGCGCTCCGTCACCATGGCAACCCTACAGGGCGCTAGAGGTGTCCGTGAATCCCCCCTAAAAGGCTAACAGACCGCCGCTAGATACCAGACCCACCAAACGCCAAACCTGCTGTTCAACCTCACTCCACTCCACCGTCAAACTAGCTCTGCCTGACTCGGTTAAGACTGGGCCACGGCGGCATTAATAGCGTATAAATTGACAACCTGTATTCCCCTCCACGAGCAGTAGCCGAGCCGCCACCACCGTTCCAAAACCGTCGCTCAATTCCCTCCGCGCGACCGAGTCGACAGCTGCGCCGCAACAGCAGCGCGCCGGGGCCGCTCAGTACTCCCAACACGGCGCCCCACACCCCTGTGCCGCCGCCCTGCAACATCCCCTTCCCACACGCGGCTCGCGGAAACGTACTTATTGTGGGGAGTCACGTTTTGCAGCATCTTGACCGCAAGGAACCGGCGCTGCCCTCAGCCGCGGAAAGTCCGGGTGGCCTCGGTTCCCCTCACCGCCCGGTCCAGCATAACCCGCTAAGTTGGGGGGAGGCCGTTCCTCTTGGGCCTCCAGGCGACAAACCCCCTGCCTGGCCGGCACGAAAGCAGTCTCTTTGGGGCCTCTCGGAGAGCTCCGGGCAGCTTGGCGCGCTCTGCAGACGGCGGACAGCAAGAAAATGGCGGCGGCCTCAGCTGAGGCGGGCAACTAAGGAGGGACTGACTCTTCAAAAGACGGTCCCCGATCTCAGACACCGTCGTCAATATAGCCCGCTGTTGGTCTGCAGGGATTCCCTCTTCTTGTCGGGCCCCTACGGGGCCGACGAGGTCCCGTTTCGATCTCGGATGGAGGCGGATGAACACGAAAAGTGGTTTAGGGAGCCGCCGCCTCCATCTTTGAAATCCTCTTGAGGGCGGAGTAGAGGGGGTGGACAGACTCCGAGGATTGGGCGGGGCCCGAAAAAGGGGAGCTCCAGGGGCTTCTAGGGGGTCTGTACTGCCCGCTGGGACCAGTCATAGGCCGGGACGAAGGCCATTTCCAAGCGGATGGAGGTGGATTGTAATGGCGGCCCCGGACGACTCGAAGGCTCTGTATCGGTAGGCAGAATCCTCCAGCTCGTTCTAGAGGCTGCTCCACTCCAGCACGAAATGGCGCCGCCGAGCCCCGCGCCAGCCCTTTATATATAGGCGGGGAGGAGGAGCTTCGCCGCTCATGCGCGCCACCCTGCTTGAGATTTTCCCCACCCCCTCCGCGCGCGCGCGCTCGCTCACGCGGGTGAAGAAGCTGAGTCGAAGGGGAAGGAACACCTCTCCGCGGGAGCTTTTTCTATTGGCCAGCCGCAACGATGACGTCATAAACTTCATTTCCAAGGTGTCAGTCACCAGGCAGAAGAGTGCCGCAGAGACCCACAGGGAAGTGGCAACCCGCCACATCTCCAAGCCAATTGGCTGAGCTGTGGTCCGCCGACTCCAGGGAAAGAGGGTGGTTGGAAGAGGTGCGGAAGCCATCGCCCCAGAGCCTCCAGCACTCTCTCCCCGCCTCCCCTTCCAACAAAGTCTTCCCAAGCTTCCATGCACAGCCCAACTGGAGACTGCCAAGCTCGAGCAGGTCGTGCCATTCGTAGCTCCTCCATTGGCCAAAGCAGGGAAACGGGAGGGGTCGCGTGGGCGTAGCCTGCCTGAACCCGCCAGGGGTGTGGCCGCAAGACGCCTGGCGGGTGGTGGTTCTCGGCGGTAAGGCAGCAGCAGCGAAGAATCTGAAACGAGGAAAAAGACGCCATCTTAGAAGCCGCGGCCTGCTCCTCTATGGCGAACAGCTACGGGCTTCAGAACGGCGATGAGGGGATCTAACGTTCCCATGCCCCACAGTCTAAAACAGTGTTGCCAGAGTCTTATAATACTCCACTCCCTCCCTCAAGCCAAACGATGGAAAGACGAGCAAAACATTATTTACTACTGTTTAGTCCCAAAGACCACAAAAGCTAAAATACGTCTCCCAAATTTGCACGTCCAAGCACCTTTCTAATCCCTCCCCACTCACACCTACAGTTACCAATACATTTCTGCTCGTTCGAAAAATCCTCGGCAACCCTAAAAGTGGGATTAAAATCTCCAAACGCATCCATCTACCCTATACAATGCAACACACCTCACCTCTTCCTCAAACTCCATTCCGGCGTCCGGCTCAGAGCAGAAAAAGCAAGTCCTGGGAGGGATGACTTAAGGGAAAAACCCTCCCCCTCCAGGCGAGCTCGGACCTTTCCCCCCACACGCCACATCACCCCCAAAGGCACACCCGTATCCGCCTCTCAGGGGCCCTCCGCCACGGGGGCGAAAGAACCCCCCCGCCCCCCCACCAGGGTCCGGAGTCCTCCCCACGGAGCGGCTGGTCCATCGGTCAGCGCCAGGGAGGAGGGCGAGCGGAGGAGGCGGCGGCTGCGGCTCAGACTAGCCCTCCCCCTCCTCCCCTCCTCCCCTCCCCCCGGCCGTCCGCCTCCGAGGAGGGGCAGGAGCCATTTTGGGAGCTCAGTTTCGCCCCCTCCCCCCAACTTACTCTTAAGTCTTCCTCCTAACTTGGTTATCTAAATAAGGGTGCAGACTCTGTGAATCAACCAGAGCCCAGAGTCAGGATCTCCAGAGCATCTCTGGGGCCGTCCCCGCCCCCTTACAAGAGAGTGAAAGGATCTCCCCCACCCGAGAAAACCTGGGCTTTGGTGGGGCGTCCCCTCCCCCGTTTCCCCTTTCTTCGCTACCAGGGAGAAAACAAACTTGTGTACGTATCTGGGAAAAATAATCAACGTAGGTGAACAAATATACGGTAAGATTCCCCCTCGCCCGGGAAGGGCTCGTAAGGGCCTAGGTCCTTGAGCTGCAACCACGCCACCCTCCCTCCTCTGCAGTAGCCCTTCAACTCCAACCTCGGTTACTGCGTCTAAAATGGCCGCCAATCTCCTGTCTTCTGACCCCCCGAGTAGGGCAAACCCCGGGAGGGCGGGGGAAAATGAGCGTCAGGAGAGCAGAGTCCCCTTCCCCCAGCCAGGGATCAGGCCCTGGCCCCCAAAAGTACAAGCGGCCCCGTCTGGGTGGCTGCAGCATGGAGGGCAATGACACAGCAACTTTGCAGAGGCCTTTTCCCCTCCCCCTAGCGGCCCAACCTCCCAAATCTGCTTTTCTCCACCGGGGCTCTGCAGGCCAGGACAGAGGCCCATCAGGGGGCCGGCCATGGAATAAAAACTTAGGAGGCTGAGAAAATACTAGGCCTTAGGAAAAGGGCAGCCAGACATTGCTCTCGTTTATTCCCTGCATTCCGGAAAATCACTGCCTCCCGATCCTCTATCCTCCCTTCCCCCACATGAGTCACCAGGGAGGCTACTGCTACTCAGTAATTTGGGAAAGTAACTCTTTCCTCCTTTCCGTTCCCTCCCCCGCAGTACACAAGGAGAGAACTGTTCAGGACTGGGGGAGGGGATGAGGGAGGCGATGGAAGAGGCCACCCTGGAGAAACCCGAAACCTTGGGAGCTGTGAAATCATTCCAGGTCCCGAGCCTCCCTCGCATCTCAGACCATGCTGTCTAGACCCCCTACTGCCAGCACCCACCTTGGGCCTGGTTTCTGTTCCTAAGCAGACCTCAAGCTTTCAGCTTGTAAGCACCCCAGCCTGGAGTAGACACGTGCTCAGTAAAGACCCTACAGGGGCAAAAGGCCCCACAGGCCGTGTCCACGTGAATGCACACAAATTCGGTAAGCGACTCGAAGCGTAACCTCCAGCCTGCGGTGTGACGACTGGAGCTCCCCTACCGCGGACACAAAGGGCGCACAGCAATGCTCCCTCCAGAGGCTCTGGGGAGAAAGGAAGTTGGCGCCTGGGAACAACCTCAGTTCACAACATGGGTGGCCAACTCCTAAAGCATTCACATCCACGGGTAGGGGCCACAGCCACCACTCCTCAGCCCACCGCCAGGTCACCCCTCCCTCGGCCGCCGATGGATCCCTTCTCACCTGGCTCCCGGCTGCTGTACCCCCAGGGGACGAATGGAATAGGGGGGGCCACACCGCCCCCTAACCCCTTTGCCCTCCAATGGGTACGGAGGCATGAGGCTGGCCATTCCCCTCCCCCCCCATGGCCCTCTCCCGCTCGCCCCCCCTCCACGCTCCCATTGGCTGTAAAAGGTTTGAAGGACAAATCTTCCCACTCTCAGGATTCTTTCCTGAACCCCAAGAATCCCCCTCCCGGACTCCCCACCATTGGTTAAGCACTTGACTGACATCTCCGCCCCACAAGGGCCCCTTCTCACCTGGATCCTAAAGCCTTCCAGGGGGCCTCCAAAGTTGCCCTCGGCTTGGTACGGGGTATGTAATCCGGGGTGTCAACCCCCCCCCAGAAAACGAAGCCGTGCTGGGGGAGGGGGCGTAGCCCCCAGCCCCTCCCTTCCCGAACGGGCTGGGGGGGTGGGGAGAGCATCGGGGCCGCGCGGCCACGTCAGCAGCACCCAGATTGGCTGACCGGGGTCACGTGCCCGCTTCCCCCCCACCCCCCGCCTTTCCCCCAGCCACGAGGACCAGCTTTCCGAACGTTCCTGGGGGTCGCGCCAAGGGGCCAAGGGGGCCGCATGGCCCAGGCCTATGTCCCGAAACCCAGAGCGCTATAACGCTGCTGCTTGTCCATATCCCCAGCTTCCTATCCCGCGGTCCTGGACTCTGTCCCCCCCACTCGCCTCTCCATACGAGTTCAGCATGGCTGCCGCAGACCAGGAACACACACAGCGCAGGCGCAAGGGTGCGCCCTGACTGGGGGAGGGGGAAGGAGGGCCAGAGGCTGCGGGGAGAGCCGTAGTGCGCAGGCGTCCGGACCGGAACCGCATCTCCGGCGGCGGGGCTTGGAGCGCGCGCTTTTCGTGGGGCGGGAGCCCGCGCCCGGGTGCTGACCTCCTGCCTCAGCGCCCCCTCCCCCACTACCCGCGGCCTAGCGGGGTAGCCTCGGGTGGCCAGGCTTGTTTCCTCCTCGGTGGGTGTAAGGTGCGGCTTCGCTGGTCCTGGCCTGAATCCAGCGGAAGCGCACGCTGCTGAGCTGTCAGCGGAGGAAAATGGGGCCTGGACCTGGAGATATGAGGGTCTGGAGAGAGGGGCCCCTTCCCTGGTGTCGTGTGGTGCGACCACTGGAGAGGGAGTTTCTCGCCCTCGTCGCGCCTGCCGCGCGGAGAGATAAGGTGCGGACCGCAGATGTGGACTTCGTATTTGGCTTTAGTCTTAGGCAGCCTTAAAATCTCTCCGTGCCGTGAACCTACGCTAGACTTTTCTTTAGTGAGACCTGTGAGTCCCTGGACCGCTCTACCTTCTACGATATTTACCAGCTGATAACTTTTCCTTCTCTATTTATTTCGTAGTGGACCGTTTAAACCTCTTATACTCTTAAAGTTATGATCTCTCCTCTCCCAAGCTTGAGTGAATTCCCCCCAAAATTTTGGAACTGGTAACATAAAATGTTATGGTGATTCAGTTGCCAGCTAAAAAGTAAGCCTTTAATTTGTCATTAGCCGATAACCTCTCCCTTGATTACCCAGAGTATGGTCCAGATTTTCACGCTGCAGACCCTAATCTCTCCTCACCGACAGATGGCACTTCACAGAACAGAAAGGCCAATTTGCAGAACTGGCTTCCCATTTCCCACCTGCAAACTGGGTCAATTGTGTATTCCTTTCTCATTTCACTAGAGGTCCTCCCTTCGGTTTGAGGAAATCCTTTACTATTGACCTGGTCAACCTTCTCTGTTACCCGGAAGCTGTCTTCCCTTCTCCCCCTTTTGACCTTTTTAAACTTTTCTCTTGGTTTCCCCGCTGACAGAAAGATAACAACCCTCTCAATATCGTGCCCTCTTAGAGACTCATGTCTCTCGGCTTCCTTGCACAGCCAAGACCTGAAATTGAAATTATCCTTACTATCTCAATTCTTTGTCACATTCTCTTTCCCCATCCCCACTCTTCAAGCTACCTCTGTCAGGCTGCTACCACCAAAACTTTTCTGGCAGATGTCACCAAGAACCTCCTAACTGGCAAAGTCAGGAAGCACTTTACAGTTCTCACTTTATTTGACCTCTGAGGCATTCGACATTTGATCATGTTTCCTTCCTGACATTCTCTCTACCCTTGACTTCTATACCACTCTCACTTGTTTCTTTTCCTATTTGTGTAACTGTTCCTCTCCAGTCTCAGTAGATTTTTCTTCCTTAGCCCCTTTTTATGTGTTGATATTTGCTGTGATTCTTGTTTGCTTCTAATTTTGTTCAACTTCTCTAGGTAATCTGACTCCATGGCTCAAAGCCTCTGAAGTCTGAATCTTTAGTTCAGACAGCTCTCTAAGCTAAACTTTCTACTAAATATTCCCACTGGGATAACTCTCAGACACCAGTATGTTCAAAATTGATGAAATCACTATACACTCTAGACCTGCTCTTTCTCTTCTGTTGTCCTGAGTAATGGTGGCTGTTTAACCACAAAGTCTGTAATCTGGGAGCCTGTTCTTGATTTCCTTTTCTCACACCCTTACAGACTCATAATTTTGCCTCTTAACTATCCATCAACTCACCCTTCTGTCCTAATTCTATCACCTGAGCTATACCAACAGTCTCCTAAATTATTTGCTAGACACATGGCTATTTGGATTTAAATTAATACAATTTTAAATTTAGTGTCTCAATACACTAGCCACATTTTAAGTTCTCAGTAGCCACATGTGACTAGTGGCTGTCATATGGGAAAGCACAGATTATTGAACATTTGTGTCATTGCAAGAAGTTGTTTTTTTCTTTCCCTGATACGGAGTCTTGCTCTGTGGCCTAGGATGGAGTGCAGTGGCGCAGTCTTGGCTTACTGCAACCTCTGCCTCCCGGGTTCAAGCAATTCTGCCTCAGCCTCCCGAGTAGCTGGGATTACAGGCGCCTGCCACCACACCCGGCTAGTGTCTGTATTTTTAGTAGACACGGGGTTTCACCATGTTGGCCAAATTAGTCTCGAATTCCTGACCTCGTGATCCGCCCGCCTCAGCCTCCCAAAGTGCTGGGATTACAGGCGTGAGCCACTGCGCGCGGCCTCATTACAAGAAGTTCTGTTGGACAGTGCTGCTTTAGACTTTCCTCTCTGCCTCTGCCACAATACTGCCAGGAGAGAGCTTTCCAAAATATAGCCCTGGCCATAGCTCTTTTTAAAACTCTGTGTTATTCCTTATTGGCTATGTGATAAAGTCCAAATTCCTATGTTTGCCAAAACAGTCTGCCTAGCTTTCCAGCCTCATGTCTAACCACTTCCTCTTGGGCCCTATATTCCAGCTGTATTGAACTGTTTCCCAGACACATCATTTTGTTTCATGCCTCTGTGTTTTACACATGTGCACTTTCTATATGGAGTAGACTTTTCCCCAATCTATGTACGCCCAAATAACATCTCTGAAAAGCTTAATGTTACTGTTCAAGTTGAGCTAACTGCTCATTCTTTGGTGTCCCTTCCCCTTATGATTTTACTTTCCACAGTGAATGGCATTTATGTGATTACATGTTTCTCTCTAGTACTAGACCTTGATTTTGAGAGCAGGGCCATTATGCATTCTTTTTCTTGCTTTGCTTTTTTTTTTTTTTTTAATATCCCTAGGTCCTAGCACAGTATCTGGCCAATATTAGGTTCTCACAAATTGAGCAAATATGGAGGTGAATTGATGTGTAAGTAAGTATGTGACTTAGGTAAGATTGAAATGTGTATGTTTTATGGGGTGCCATGTATAGGGGAATAATCATAGACAAAATTATTGCCTTCAAACCTGAGACATTAGAATTATGTGAGGAAAGACAGACATAGAACAGCACAGGTTATTGTCACAGAGAGTAGTCTAGTCCAGTCTGGCCAGAACATAAGCTACAAGAAGTAGAGCAGGAGAAGAGAAAATGGGAGGTAAATTTATATTAGAGAACACATTATAGAAGGTTTCCAGTGCTGTTAAGTTTGGAATCAGTGGGGAACCACTGAAATTTTTTGACTAATGACTTGATCAGAATTATGTTGTTAGATAGAAACTCTGTCTTCCAGTGGCTGGCACCGTCCATGTTAATAAACATCAAATTAAAATGTCGGGGTTGGAAGGAGATGTGATTGGTGATACAAAACATTTATTGAGTAGTTAAAATGTGTCAGGTACTGCAATGAGTACATGTAGTAACTCTTTTAATCCTTATAACCCTATAAAGTCAATACTAATATTATCACCCTCAGTTTTCAAATGAAACAACAGAAGCAAAGGACGTCTTAGTCTGTTTTCTGATGCTATCACAGAATACCACAGACTGGGTAATTTATAAACAGTAGTTTATTTGGCTCAGTTCCAGTTGCTTGGAAGTCCAAGAGCATGGCATTGGCATCTGGTGAGAGCCTTGTGCTGCATCATCCCACGGCAGAAAGGCAAACAAGCACATGAGATGGAGAGAGAATAGAGGCCAGAATGTACCCTTTGTTTGTTTGTTTGTTTTGAGGCGGAGTCTCGCTCTGTCGCCCAGACTGGAGTGCAGTAGTGCAATCTTGGCTCACTGCAAGCTCCTCCTCCCGGGTTCACACCATTCTCCTGCCTCAGCCTCCCAAGTAGCTAGGACTACAGGTGCCCGCCACCAAGCCTGGCTAATTTTTTGTATTTTTAGTAGGGACGGGGTTTCACCGTGTTAGCCAGGATGGTCTCCATCTCCTGACCTCATGATCCACCTGCCTCGGCCTCCCAAAGTGCTGGGATTACAGGTGTGAGCCACTGTGCCCGGCCTCAGAATGTCCCCTTTTAAATGGGAACCCATACCTACATTAGTAGCATTAATCCATTCATGAGAGCAGAGCCCTCATGACCTAATTAACTCTTAAAGGTCCCACTTCTTAAAACTGTCAAAATGGCAATTATTTTCAACAAGAGTTTTGGAGGAGAGATTCAAACCATAGCAGGTAATATTTACCTAAGGTCACACCTTTAGTAAGTAGCAGAACTGGGATTTGAACCCAGCTGACTCTGGGTGGCATATTATTCTGTTTACTAGGCACAGCAGGGAGTTTAAGATCCAAGATTGAAGTTAGAGAAAAAAGATTAGGAAAAGCAGATTTGAGAGTCACCTTTGAGGTGATGTTTGAATCAGCCACGAAGGTAGCTGAGGTTTGTAAAAGAGGGGGTATAAAAACAATTTAGGGTGAAGGATTGAGCTTTGGGTTACATCTTCATACAGGAAGCAAGAATAGGAAGTGGAACCAATGGAAGATCTCAAGGAGAAGCAGAGCAACATAATGTGAGGAAGCTAGAACAGGAGATGGTTCCAGGAAGGATGTCATGTTCATTGAATGACTGATTAAATCAGGACTCCTTAAGCTTTTTATGTGCCATTAGCTTTTTTGGCAGTTTGGTGAAGCCTTTGGATCTTGTCTGATAATATTTGTAAATGCATAAAATAAAATATAAACTATAGTTATCAAAATACAGTGGTCCCCCCTTAACTGCAGTTTCAATTTCTGTGATTTCAGTTACCCAAGGTCAACCTGGTCTGAAAATAAGTACAATAAGATACTTTGTGTATGAGACAGAAAGACCATATTCACATAACTTTTATTACAATATAATTGTCCTATTTTGTTGTTAATCTCTTCCTGTGCAAATTTATAAATTAAACTTTATCATAGGTATATCTATGGATAGGAATAAACTGTATAATCACATTTGGTGCTGTGTGGGGGACACTACTATATTCAAAGAAACGTGTGATGATCTAGTAGTATGTGTTTCTGTATTAATACAATACAGTGTTTCTTTACTAATACATTAAAAAGCATGATTTTTTGGCAAGTTTAACAGCTCCCATAATTGTAAGTGATATTTTAAGATGTCTGTAACAACTATAATGTGATATGAAAATATTAATTGATGGTGTTTTCTATTGATGACAGTGTTACAGCTGCTGGCTGGTACTACAAAGATTTATTTTCTACATTCATAAAATTAGATTTCAGTGAGAGTTTTTTGAAAATAAAGTTGACTTTTTTTTATTCCATCCAAGTTTATGGACTTCTGAATTGTTTTTTTTTATTTTTTATTGATACATAATAATTGTACATATTTATGGGGTACATATGATATTTTGATACATGCATACGATGTGTAATGATCAAATCAGGATAATTAGGATATCCATCACCTCAAACATTTATTATTTCCTTCTGTTGGGAGCACTTCAAATCTACTAGCTATTTTGGAATATACAGTAAATTAATGTTAACTGTAGTCACCCAGCTGTGCTATCAAACACTATAGAATTTATTCCTTCAATTTAACTATATTTTTGTAACCATTAATGAATCTCTCTTCATCCCCCCTCCACCCCCTCCCTTTCCCAGTCTCTGGTAACCATCATTCTACCCTCTACCTCCATAAGATCAACTTTTTTAGCTCCCACTTATGAGAACGTGATATTTTTTTTTCTGTGTCTGACTTATTTCATTAACATAATGACTTCCAGTTCCATCCATGTTGCTGGAAATGACAGGATTTCATTCTTTTTTATGGCTGACTAGTATCCATTGTATATATATACACCACATTTTCTTTATCCAGTCACTTGATAGACACTTAGATTGATTCCATGTCTTGGCTACTGTGGGTAGTGCTGAAATAAACATGGGCATGTACACATCTCTTTGATACACTGATTTCCTTTCTTTTGGATATATACCCAGCAGTGGGATTGCTGAATCATCTAGTAGATCTATTTTTAGTTGTTTGAGGAACCTTTATGCTGTTTTCCATAGTGGCTATGTTAATTTACATTTCTACCATCAGTATATGAGCATTCCCCTTTCTTTGCATCCTCACCAGTATCTCTTATCTGTGTCTTTTTGATAATAGCCATTTTAATTAGATTCAGATGATATCTCATTGTGGTTTTGATTTGCATATCCCTGATGGTTAGTAACGTTGAGAATTTTTTCATATGCCTGTTGGCCATTTGTATGTCTTTTGAGAAATGTCTATTCAGATCATTTGCCCATTTTCAAATGGGATTATTTGGAGGATTTTTGCTGTTGAGTTTGAGTTCCTTATATATTCTGGTTATTAATCCCTTATCAGATGGATAGTTTGCACATATTTTTTCCCATTCTGAAGGTTGTCTCTTCACTCTGTTGATTGTTTCCTTTGCTGTGGCAGAAGCCTTTTAGCTTGATGTAATCCCATTTGTGTATTTTTGCTTTCATTGCCTCTCCTTTTGAAGTCTTAAACCAAAAAATGTTTGCTCAAAGTCTTGAGCATTTCCCCAGTATTTTCTTACAGTAACTTTTATAGTTTCAGGTCTTACATTTAAGTTTTTAATCCATTTTGATTTAATTTTTGTATTTGATGAGAGATGGGGGTGTAGTTGTATTTTTCTGCATATTGTTATTCAGTGTTCCCAGCACCATTTAATGAAGAGTGTGTCCTTTTCCCATTGAATATCTTGGTACCTTTGTTGAAAATCAGTTGGCTGTTAAGATGTGGATCTATTATTTCTGGGTCCTTTATTCGGTTCTATTGGTCTGTGTATCTGTTTTTATGCCAGTACCGTGCTCTTTTAGTTACTGTAGCTTTGTAGTATATTTTGAAGTTGGGTGGTATGATGTCTACAGCTTTGTTCTTTTTGTTCAGAATTACCTTGACTATTTGTGTTTTCTGTGGTTCCATATTAATTTTAGGTTTGTTTTTTCTGTTTCTGCAAGGAATATCTTTGTATTTTGATAGGAATTGCAACAAATCTGTAGATTGCTTTTGGTAGTACAGTCATTTTCACGATACGAATTCTTCCGAAGACATAGGATGTCTTTCTATTTTTTTGTGACCTCTTCAGTTTTTTTCCTCAGTGTCTCATAGTTTTCCTTGTAGAGATCTTTCACCTCCTTGGTTTATTCTAGGTATTCTATTTTGTTTTTTTGGTGGGGGGAGGGGTTGTAGCTATTGTAAATGGGATTACTTTCTTTGATTTCTTTTCCCACTAGTTTACTGTTTGTATCCAGAAGCACCATTAATTTTTATATGATAATTTTGTATCCTGCAACTGTACTGAATTTATCAATTCTAAGAGATTTTGTGTGTGTGTGTGTGTGGACCTTTTAGTTTATAAATTTGTATGTTTTCTTGTTTAATGTCTCTTTATTTTCATTAGACTTTAAGTGTGATGATGGCAGGTATCTGATACAGAGCATACTGCTAGACACAGAAGGTGGCCAATAAATATTTGCTAAATAAATGAACCTTTCTGAGTCCCAGTTTTCTTGTTTATATAATGGGGATAATAAATTATAACCTTGTAGAGTAGTTGTAAGGATTGCTGCATCATAGTAATGTCACTAAAAGGGAGGATGAATATGGGTATGGAGAAATGTACTGAGGTAGAAATAAGAGTAAATGTGGGAGCTGGATGGCTAGGTTTGCTCTCTGAAACAGGAGGTGGCAGGGAGTAGGAAGAAAATGGTAGTTGGCAAGGAGCTTGGGAAGGGCCTAGAATGGAATTGGAAGGGTAGTAGAGTATATAGGGAAGGCTGTGGAGGTGTAAAATGGCTCATAGAGACTGGGTGTGGTTGCTCATGCCTGTAATCAAAGCACTTAGGGAGGCCGAGCCAGGTGGATCACGAGGTCAGGAGATCAAGATTATCCTGGCTAACACAGTGAAACCCCATCTCTACTAAAAATACAAAAAAAAAAAAAAAAATTAGCCGGGTATGGTGGCACGTGCCCGTAGTCCCAGATACTCCAGAGGCTGAGGCAGGAGAATCACTTGAACCTGGGAGGCGGAGGTTGCAGTGAGCGGACACCGTACCACTGCACTCCAGCCTTGGCAACAGAGTGAAACTCCATCTCAAAAAAAAAAAAAAAAGAATGGCTTATAGATAAACCTGATAAGATTTACCTTTGAAACATCTGTTAGAAGGGACAATCCATCATCATCTAATACCTGAAGGCTCTTCCATTCTCAGTTCAGCACCTTCAGAGACTGGTAGCCCATTTGTTCATCGAGTGAAAGGTCACTTAGTGGGCCTCTTGGTGGAGATATATATATATATAGTACACCCTCCCCTAAGGACCTTGCAGTAGAGATGAGGTGACTATGAAACAGACATATAAATGGAAGAGAATAATACAATTAAAACAGTGATAATGGCCAACACAGGGTGCTTTGGAAACGTACTGAAGAGGCTATTAATCTCAACTCTGGGTTCAAGGAAGGCTTCCTGAGAGGAGTGAGATTTCACCTGAAAAGACATATAGAAGTAGGTAAGTAGACTTCAGGTCATTATGGGTCATGACAAGGAAAGTAGATCATTAACAATCATGGAAGGTTTTCATGCAGAAGTATAATATGATCAACTAAGCATAATAAAAATATCCTTCTGGCAGCACTGTGGAAAATAATAAGATTGGAGAGAGAGAGACCAATTATAAAGAAAGTTGCAATAATCAGTGAAAACCAACCATTGAAGGCCTGGACCAGTAGGAATGGAAGGAAAAGAAAGGAAGATTCAAGAGCTATTAGAAAGGTAGAATTGTTAGGACAATTGAATGGGAAGGTTTGAGGAAGATGGGGTCATCAACGATGACCCACATTTGTAGCTCGGGTGGACATCTTGTTATTCACTGAAGTCTTAAATATAAGAGAGGAGTTGGAATATATTGGGAAGGGAAAGTGATGAGTGTACTCTTGTAATCTTGAGATGGAGATACATTCAGAGTAACAATTGCTAACTTTATTTGCCTATGGAATACCTAATTAGAATTCATTATTGAACCATCAATAGCTTATGAAACATAAAATAGAAAACTCACCAATTTTTTTAAACTAATGGCACGGTTTGAAAATTATAAGACACTGCTTTTCATTTAAAACTTCATTCTCTTACACATTTTTGAGATAACTAGGAGAAATGAACAGATTGGGTCAAATGAAGTTAAGTAATTTTTAATTTTGTTGGTTGTGGTGATGGCATTATAGTTATGTTAAGGGAAAGGTTATTATCTATTATAGATATGCCTAAAAGTATTTACTGGTGAAATGTAATGACAGAATTTGTTTAAAATACTCCAAAAAATGCAGAACAATAGATGAAACAAGAATGGAAGAATGTTAAATGTTGAAAATTGTTGACATTCATGAGAGTACATTGGAGTTTATTAGATTCTTCTCTTCTGTGTGTGCTTGGAGCTTTTCAAAGTAAAATTAAAAAAACCTTTTTAGTCAGAGATTCAAAGGAAATTCGTGGAATATATAATTTTAAATTAATAAATCAATATTGAATCACATGATAAATGTAATTTGAATATGTGATAAGACAAGTGACCGACCAGAGATCATCAAGCAGATGACATATGTCACCTGAGTAGTTAGGAAATGCTGTTTGAGCATTAATACACAGATTTAACCTTATGTTTATGCCTCAGATGATCTCATACAATTGTCTGAGATGCCATATGTTGAAAATAGCTGTATTGAGGTGGTTACTTTTCATATGATTCTCCCTTCTCTAGGAATAGCTCTAATCCATAGAGGTAATACTGTACCTGGCCACAACCAATGAATCCAGTGGTACACACCTAATACAAGCTGAGCCAGTGAGAGAGGCTCTCCCAGCAAAGCAAAACTTGAAAGATAAAGAGGCAGGAGGCCTTTGCAGGTGAGCATATTAATGGCAACTCAACCCCTGCTTCTAAGGTCCCTGTGGCTATTCTACCTGAGGCTAGCTTATTCAACTATTACTTTCATTTCATGAGTTAGATCAGTATCTTTCCAATAAATCCTCATTTTTAAAATGTAAGTTAGCCAGAATTGGTTTCTATTGCTTGCAATAAATAGACTTATTAAATATAATAAATTGTTACATAATAAAAAATATTATATAAATGTGTTTGATGTTGCATTATGTCTATGTGGAAATAAATTCAAAAATAAATGATTGCTATCATCAAACTTACTTTTTTTATTTCTTGAGGAACGCTATTGTGAAGAATACAGTTTAAGAACATGCAAATTCATGAAGCGTTCCATATTTAAAAAAAAAACAAAAACAAAAAACTGCTATTGCATAGCATCCAAGTGGATTTGACCAGAAGTGGTTCAGATATGGGTAGTGTGGAACTCAGAGCAAGATCTGAGCTGAAGAGGTAAGCTTGGAAGACATTAGCAAATGGGTGGTAACAGAAGGCATGTGGGAGTAAATGAGAGGACCATCCAGGGCAAGTGTATAGTCTAAGAAGAGTAAAGGTTGAGGACAAAACTCCAGGGAACACCAATACTTAAAGGGTTGCTGAAAGAAAGGAGTCCCAAAGGGACTGAAAAGGGGACGCCAGAAAAGTAGGAGGGAAAACTAGGAGAGAGTGCCATCAGGGATGCCAGAAATTTGACCAATTTAGGAGATGGGGTATGGCCAACAGTGTCAGATGTTGCAGAGACTAGTTCATTTGATTTGGCAACACAAAAGTATTGGTGAACAATTGCATTGTTGAGAGTTAAAAGATTAAATGGCAAGAATGGGAGCGGGGCCACAGTTGCCCATGACTTTTCCAAGAAATCTGACTCTGCTAGGGGAAAAAAAATAGAGTCCTTTTTATATATTTATTTATTTATTTTTTGAGATGGAGTCTTGCTCTGTCACCCAGGCTGGAGTGCAATGGCACAATCTCAGCTCACTGCAACCTCCACCTCCCGAATTCAAGTGATTCTCCTGCCTCAGCCTCCTGAGTAGCTTGGATTACAGGCACCCGCCATCACGCCTGGCTAATTTTTTTTTTTTTTTGTATTTTTAGTAGAGATGGGATTTCACCATTAACCAGGATGGCCTTGATCTCCTGACCTCGTGATCCACCCCCCTCGGCCTCCCAAAGTGCTGGGATTACAGGCGTGAATCACTGCGCCTGGCCAAATAGAGTCCATTTTTAAATGCTAGAAAGGGATGGCAGAGCTGAGTGTTAGAAAGCCAGAGCCTCCTGGATTTACCGGTGCTGTGCCATTATTTTCAGAGGCATTCATAGCTAATGACAAAGTAGACAGTGAACTACTGCAAAGCAGAACTGGCTGCCTTGCTCATCTCTTGCCCACAATTATTACTTTCCAAACTGATGAGAGACTATTCCTGAGATACTTATGATGGAGGTAGTTGGGAGGTCCTGGTGGGGAAGGATTACATGGAGGGAAGAGTAGTTATAAGTGTTTGAACTTGTTACCATTTAAACTGAGATTATAGAAGGGGAGAATGGAGTTAACCACCCCTCACCACAGTCTTGGTGAGGGATGGTTATGTTTGTCCTCACCTTGGTCTTGTCTACACTGTGCTCCCTATGGAGAACTTGGACCCCTCTGCCTTGTTCCTCTCACCCAGAGAAATTGCAGTGTCTGCTGTACCTATTCCTATGCCCTTCCACCCAGTCTAGTTTCTCCTGTTCTTCCCCAGATCTCCTTCCAAATAGACTGGTGTAACTGGCACAAAGTGTTTGTTAACTGATTGCCAATCCAATAATAAGGGGACTGAGGTTCTTCTTTGAAGGGTGGGTTTAATTTGGGGCTTTCGTACCAATTCTGACCACGTGTAGAGCATCATTCAGCACACTATGGGCTGTGAGCACAATCTTGCCTACCACCTGTTTTTAAATGGCCTAAAAGCTAAGAATGGTCTTCACATTTTTAAATGGTTAGGGAAAAAAAAAAGCAAATGAAGAATATTTCGTGACACATGAAAATTACATGAAATTTGAATTTTAGTGTCCATAAATAAAAAGAGGGTTGAGGACAAAAACTCCAGGGAACACCAGTATTTAAAGAGTAGCTGAAAGGAAGGAGTCTATGAAGGAGACTGAGAAGGAGATGCTCAAGAAGTGGGAGGAAAAGCTAGGAGGAAACTAGGAACACAGCCACTCTCCTTCATTTACATATTGTGCATGGAGGCTTTCGTGCCACAGTTGAGTACTCATGACAGAGATCTGATAGCCCACAATGTCTAAAATATTTGCCATCTGGCCCTTTACAGAAAAAGTTTGCTAACCCCTGGTTTAGGACTCTAGGTGGCTGTGTCCCATATGTCTCCCCACTGGTAGTCTCATAAACTTCTTTTCTACTGTCCAGGGGCCTGCATCTTCCCACTGCCAGAACCGCTGATGGGTTAGTGCATAAATGTTGGGATACTGGGAAATGTTCTTTTGTTTTCTGGAGGGTTACCATGATTTCCAAACCCTAGTCCTTCCCTGGCACCCTGCCTCCACCACACAGACACACACACATATATACACATTGCTGTTCCAGAATATCTAGGAGGTCATAGAGTTGTTTTTGTTTTTGGCTATTACTGCTGCTATTACTTGTTTATCAAAAGAGGATATGAAGCCAGGCACAGTGGCATGTGCCTATAGTCCCCAGCTACTGAGGCGGGAGGATCGCTTGAACTCGGGGGTTCAAGACTGGAGTGAGTTATGATTGCACCTGTAAGTAGCCACTGCACTCCAGTCTGGGCAACAGGGGAAACTTTGTCTTAAAAAAAAAAAAAAAAAAGGTGGAAGGTATGAATTTTGAAAGCCTCAGAAACACTGTTGGACAATATTCACATATATTAATTTCTCAGATTACTTGATTGCCACATTAGAGCTTTCTCACTGCCTCTTCCCCCACCCCTTCTGTCTTTCTCTTTCTTTTGTCTAACAAACTTGAAGCATGTACACTGACAGTTTCTTCCTCACCTCCCACTTACTTCTCAGCCCACCACAATCTGGAGTTGACTCCCACTACAACACTGAAACTGCTCTCAATAAATTTGTCAGCCATCTCATAATCACCAAATCTAAGGACACTTTTCAATCCTTTCTTGACTTTTGAGTAGCATTTAAAAATGCTGACCTTGCCCTCCTTCATGGCACACCTCTTTTTTATTTCTCTGATCTGCTTCTACCTTGGTCTTTTCTTAGTGCTCTGGATGGTCCTCGTGCCACCAGATTCTTACAAACCAGGGTATTTCAGTGTACTCGTTATTATCTTTGTCTCAGTGACACACACACCCTCCTCTACTGTGTTTTGAACTGCTTAGCTTAGGAGTCAGCCAGGTGTGTATTTCCCAGCCTTCCTGGACATCTGGCTTCCTTTTTGATTCTGCCAGTAGGAGGCACTGATGGGAGATCAGAAGGCAAGAGAAACTGAGAAGCATCCTGCTTCAGCCTCTAAACAGTGTCGGTGGCTGGCAATAGCTGGTAGCTATTGGCTGTAGCTGTAGCAGCAGGAAGAATGGGAGACTCAGGACTCCAGCCTCCTGAGCAGAAGTACCTTCTCAAGGATTCTAGCCTTGAAGGAGGTGGCACCTTTCTAGTAGATTGGAACTGACTATGACAGTGTCTCTCACAAGGCAATGAGTAGATTTACAGATTCCAGCTCAGGGATGATGGCAGCTTCTGATTTCCAGATAGCAATCTTTTTTTAAAATGTACATTTCTAGGACTCTCCTTTTTTTTTTTTTTTTGTACTTCTTGCCCTTTTAACACCTTTGTAACCAATTCTCTATATTAAATTCTTTCAGTCTGAAGCACATAAAGTAGTTAAATGCTCCTGACTGGATCCTGGATAACTGGTATGAGGTTTGGGGTTTGAGCCCATGCATGCTTTTGTCCTTGTTTCACTTCCCACTCCTTCTGCACAGTTTACTTGGGTGATCTTATTCATGGCCTCTGCTTCGACATTTGTGCTGATGACTCTCAAATCAGGGTCTTCAGACCATACCTGGGGTCCATACCCACACGCCTCACTGCGCTCCCATGCAGTTTCAGCTGGCTGTTCCACTGGCATTTCAAATTCAACATGTACAAAATCAAGCTCTTTCTCTCTGTAAACCTGCTCCCATGGCATTCTTTTCTGCTTCAATTCAGTCCATCCCTGACCACCCACCCAGCCACCCATGCTGGAAATCTGAGATATCTTTGACTCCTCCACCTTCCCACTCCCACAGCTAATCAGTAGCCAAACCCTTTAGATTCTACTTCCTAATTATCTTGATATTCTATCTCCTCCGCCTCCTCTTATTATGACTTAATTCAGGCTCTTATTATCTGTCATTTAAATTATTGCTGTATTGCTACAGGAGTGGTGTGTATATGTGCAACTGTTCATCTTGGTATGCTATAGACTCTTGCCCAGCAGTTTTGCCTCAATTCTTTAAAAGCTCCAGTTCATTGTTTGAAATATCAATCAGAACATTTTTTCCAAAATGCTAAAATGATTGTCATTCCCCAGTTTTAATATCTCTATCATCTGCTAAGTAAAAGCAAGCTCCTCCTTGTGGCGTAGCAGGGCCCACGTGATCTGGCCCTTGCCCGAATTTGTAGCTTATCACAACATCCTTCTACCCCCCATTACCTCCTATTATACAGGAACACCCAAGCGACCTTCACAACATTCATATCAACTAGTACACAGGGTCTCCAAAGAGGACCTCTGGATGCCTGTGATCTTTGTACTTCTGCCTACCCTTTGCCCTGGCGTGTTTTTCTCTTCCTTCATGTTCTGCTGGCCAAATTGTTTTTCCTTCAAGTCTTAGGAGCCTGCCTGATTATGTTCCTCCTATTCCGCATCCTCATAAAATTACTGCGACTTCCAAAACACTTGGCACATTCTTATTTGAATACATTACATTGTTGTGTAATTATCCCTTGGCCCCCTCCCCCAGCACTAGACTCTAAGCTCTTTGAAGGCAGACTATGCCTATTCATCTTTGTATTTCTAGCCCTGGGCCCAACACCCAGAATTTCTTGTATTTTCAATATATGTCTGCCAAATGAATTAGAGCTAATGCCTGAAGGAGAATAAGTTTTTTTGAGAAAGAGGAAGAGCCAGGAGGGAGGAGAAGGCAGGGTCCGAAGAGCCCTGGGGGTTTACTTGGGGAAGATGCGGTTCCCCATTGCAGCATTCTGCCAGGAGGTGGCACTGCTCTGAAGAGCCAGCTGGTCGCTTACAGACTGAGGCTGACAGCTTGAAACCAAAGAGGGAACTCCACCAGGAAGCAACATTCCTCCACTGGGCTTCCCAGCCCAGTTACATGCCATACTCTGCCCTGGTCAAACAGCCAAGTCTTCAGGAGGTTACTGGCCCCAGGCGTCTCCCCAGTGACTGATGATGTTAAACCCTACGCTTCTCTGATTGGTTTAGACAAAATGACAAGGGCACCTATTGGAAATGATCTGGCAAAACATGATCTAAGGCCACCCTCTCGGGGAGGGAGTTGGGGAAGCTGGGTTGGCTGGGTTGGTAGCTCCTACCTACTGTGTGGCAAGAAGGTATGGGTCATGAACAGAACCAAGGAGCTGCGCTGCTACAGATGTTACCACTTCTGTGGCTGCTACCCCACTCCTGGGCCGTCCCTGAAGGTAAGATGGTACTCCTATTTACTTCCATCCTGAACCTAGGGAGCCCACTCAGCTTTGTGAGGAAAAGCGCTGTGCTTTGTGAGTGGTGGGAAGTCTTATGAGGCAGTGGAAACAACAGGGGAGTGGGGAAAGACAGCTGCTATGTGTGGTTGGTAAACGATATCAGTGATGCTTTGCATGTTCCATTTAAGACAATCTCTTGAAGCGGAGATTGTTCTCTCCATTTTACAAATGAAGAAAATGAGACTCAGAGTTATTTGTGCAAGTTCACACCATTGGAAAGTGGTAGAGCTGGGATTTGAACAAAGTGAATGTTATTTTCACTCCTCCACTCAAGATTCTACTCTGCTTTCTATCATTAACTTATCTTGTGATTCTTGAAAAGTGTCTTAGTTTCCTTCTCTGTAGAGGATGGGGCAGAATGGAAGAATAATCTGGAAGATCCCTCTTCCTCCAAATGTCTGTTTTTCTGGGTATTGGGTTAAAGGTTTCCTGCTGGCTGAGCGATTCCTGCCAAGAGCTTCAAAGAAGAGGGATTATTTTATGCAGTTATGGGGTCACTTCTCCCATTGCTGTCTTTGGGAGGCCTGGTAGGTTAAGGAACAGAAGACATTTTGAGAGACGCTTGGTGCCAATGAAGTGGCTGAAGAAATGTCTGGATACAGGTTTTCCAATTTACCATTTGTGTCTGGGGATAGTGGGAGGCAGTCCCATCTATGGCTTGGGGAGGCTGTAGCCATTCCTCCTCTTTCCCTTCTAAGAGTGAGAAACCCATCCATGGCCTTCTCTAGTCAATACAGTGGCCTGGTATGAATTAGACAAAGGAATCCCCTTTGGGAGGATACAGCCCTATGCCAGGATGTATGGCATGGTGAGCAGAATGCAGGCTTTCACTTGCTTCTTTGGCTAGGTGTCTTTGTGCAGCCCCCAAACACACAATGAACAGTGACTCTGAATCTGTCACTTTATTTTATATATATACATTTTTAAATTTTTTATTTGATTTAATTTATTTTTTTTGACACGGCATCTCGCTCTGTCACCCAGGCTAGAGTGCAGTGACGTGATCTCGGCTCCCTGCAACCCCTGCCTCTGGGGTTCAAGAGACTCTCCTGCCTCAGCCTCCCAAGTAGCTGGGATTACAGGCGCATGCCACCACACCCAGCTGATTTTTGTATTTTTAGTAGAGATGGGGTTTCATCATGTTTGCCAGGCTGGTCTCAAACTCCTGACCTCAGGTGATCCACCCGCCTTGGCCTCCCAAAGTGCTGGGATTACAAGCTTGAGCCACCGCGCCCGGCCTTTATATATATATTTTTTGAGACGGGCTCATTCTGTCACCTGGGCTGGAGTCCAGTGGCACAATCATGGCTCACTGCAGCCCCAACTTCCTAGGCACAAGCAATCCTCCTGCCTCAGCCTCCAGAGTAGCTGAGACCACAGGTGTTTGCCACCACACCTGGCTAAGTTTTTGTATTTTTTGTAGAGACAGGGTCTCGCTGTGTTGCCCAGGTTGGTCTTGAACTCCTGGGCTCAAGCAATCTGCCTGCCTCAGCCTCCCAAAGTGCTGGGATTACAGGCATGAGCCACCATGCCTGGCCTGAATCTGTCACTTTAGAAAGTAGAACTCTTTACTTTTGCCAACTGGCCTTTTTATAGGCAGGGGAAGCTTGGAGAGATGCCATAATTTGTTCTTCACCCCCTTTGGGAGGGGGAGTCTAAATAACAGACACAGGAAAGGGTCTCACCTCAGCCCACGCTCCTTAAGCAGGCCTTGCTTGTTTTTGTTGTTTTGTTTTGAGACAGAGTCTCACTCTGTCACCCAGGCTGGAGTGCAGTGGCTTAATCTTAGCTCCCGGCAACCTCTGCCTCCCTGGTTCAAGCAATTCTCCTCCCTCAGCCTCCCGAGTAGCTACAGGCGCATGCCAACATGCCCAGCTACTTTTTTGTATTTTTAGTAGAGATGGAGTTTCACCATGCTGGCCAGGCTGGTCTCAAACTCCTGACCTCATGATCCACCCACCTTGGCCTCCCAAAGTGCTGGGATTACAGGCATGAGCCACTGCGCCTAGCCCCACCTTGCTGTTTTTTAAGTTGGAGGAGAAGGCTCCCACCTCCCTGAACCTCACCCTGTGTCCTTTGCAGCTCCTACTCCAATGTGGCCAGATGACCTGCAAAACCACACATTCCTGCACACAGTGTACTGCCAGGATGGGAGTCCCAGTGTGGGACTCTCTGAGGCCTACGACGAGGACCAGCTTTTCTTCTTCGACTTTTCCCAGAACACTCGGGTGCCTCGCCTGCCCGAATTTGCTGACTGGGCTCAGGAACAGGGAGATGCTCCTGCCATTTTATTTGACAAAGAGTTCTGCGAGTGGATGATCCAGCAAATAGGGCCAAAACTTGATGGGAAAATCCCGGTGTCCAGAGGTCAGGAGTTTTCTGGGGAGTGAAGGGAGGAGGGCTGCATTAACCTCATTGATCTGTACACTGAATAATTCCCCTTGATACCAGCTCCCCATCTCAAATACTTTCTGGTTCTCTTCATCACCTTAATTTTTCCACCAGCCTTGGTCTGCACCCTGTGTTCTTTTGGTGGGCCGAAGTACCTAGCATGTAGTAGGCATTCAGAACTATGTATTGAATGTGATGAATTCAACAGGTACCAACTGATACCTACTGAATATTAACACTTGTGCTACTATGCCCAGCAAGATGGATGGGAAGAGTGGAAATATCTGATGACGTGACTATGTCTTAGTGAGAAGACAGTGCATGGTTAGACATCAATGTGAGCTCTAGACAGGAAGTGCTGAAGGAAGTCATGGTGGAGGGGTCCAGAGTAGCCTGGATCTGGCTCTGCTTCTACGTCTAGCTGCAGTCCTTGCCTGGAAGAAGACCTCCCTTCAGAGCCCAGCTCCTCGCTCATCTCTGTCTCCCAAAGCCTGACCCACTGTGTTCTTCTCTGCCCTCCCCTCCATATGCCATGGCCCCTCCAAACACAGAGATACCATCTAAACTAGTCTCTTTTTCCCCCTACACTTCAATCCCCCCACCAGGGTTTCCTATCGCTGAAGTGTTCACGCTGAAGCCCCTGGAGTTTGGCAAGCCCAACACTTTGGTCTGTTTTGTCAGTAATCTCTTCCCACCCATGCTGACAGTGAACTGGCAGCATCATTCCGTCCCTGTGGAAGGATTTGGGCCTACTTTTGTCTCAGCTGTCGATGGACTCAGCTTCCAGGCCTTTTCTTACTTAAACTTCACACCAGAACCTTCTGACATTTTCTCCTGCATTGTGACTCACGAAATTGACCGCTACACAGCAATTGCCTATTGGGGTGAGGCTTTCTCCCTGGAATTCTGGTCCTTTTGGGGGCAAAAAGGGATAGATCCATGGGAGGAGGCTTCTTTCTCCACTGGTACCTTGTTTAGTCCATTCCTACCCTAAGCCCATCCCAGTCTCCCATGTCATCCCAGACACCCACGTCATTTCCCTGGGTGGGAGGCTCCCTAACTAGGTCCCCAGGCTGAGCCACTCATTTCCTCCAGTACCCCGGAACGCACTGCCCTCAGATCTGCTGGAGAATGTGCTGTGTGGCGTGGCCTTTGGCCTGGGTGTGCTGGGCATCATCGTGGGCATTGTTCTCATCATCTACTTCCGGAAGCCTTGCTCAGGTGGTATGTCATCTGGAGGGGGCGGGTGAGCCTGTGGGAGCCAGATACAGTGGTGCATGCGTGCATGTGTCAGGATTATTTTGTGGCATGGGGGGACATATAGCGATCCTCAGGCCCTTGGGTGTGGGGGCCTGTATCCAGCACCATGGGGGCACATCTTCCCAGTTGGGGACCCAGTTACACACACACAGTTATGGGTCACAAGAATTGCTTTGAGTGAAAAAAGGAATCATGGGGTGCTGTAGGAAGGGTGCTTGGAGATGATTTGGGAACAAGGAGAGATCAACTTCTGCAGGGTGTGGTGCAGGCAGGGCGAGCAAGGCCTTTGTGGGGGAGGAGGAGGAGGAGAAGGAGGAGGAGGATGGATCCCCTGATGCCTTTCCTCCATCCCTGTCTCTCCCCCAGACTGATTCTTCCAGACCAGAGTTTGATGCCAGCAGCTTCGGCCATCCAAACAGAGGATGCTCAGATTTCTCACATCCTGCCCAGGATCTCCTCTTAGGGTAGAAGAAGTCTCTGGGACATCCCTGGGGTGTGTGTGTAGATTTCCCACCTGGGGACTCTGCTGTCCCTGGGCTTGCATCCCAGGGATCCCAGAGTGGCCTGCCTATCACAACCACATCCCTTCCCCCCACAAGGCAATAAATCTCATTTCTTTATATCAGTGTGGCTTCTTTCTTAACTCATGGTATTTGTTTCTGGATATCTCAACTTGAGTGGGTTGTCGTTTCAAATTCAGCATGCCTTAACCTGAACACAGCTTGACCTCGTTAGGGAGGGAAATAGGGAAAACCCCTAATTTGCCAGCTGAGCTCTTATTCCCTGGTCTTGGCGGTACATGATGTTTTTCCATCTATCGGTTTGTGCAAAATATGTGAGAAACGAAGGCAGAGTTATTTTCTAATAATCTGCTTACAAAATGGTTAAGGAAGCTGCTTGTGTGTTTTGTGCGTGTGTGTGTGTGTTGTGTATTTTACTGTTTGTGAAAATGTTTATGTCTCGTATAGGCTGCCCTGAGGAACATATAACTCCCTTCAACCCTCACCGTAACTGAGAAACAGAAGCTCAGGGATGGGAAGAATAAGCTCCCAAGTGCTATACCAATCAGTTATGTCAGTTCTGGGAAAACAGTATCATGAAGCCCCTAACATGAAGTGAAAACAGCCTGGAAGGGCAAAGAATTCACATGTCTTTCCTGACAATCTGTTCCTTGGCCTGAGTGAACTGTCCAAGGAGAACTGCACAGGTGCTGTCCTGGGAAGATAACGAAAGGTGGCAGCACATGACCACTGGTGGTAAATTGCTTTGCATATGCTTTCTTTCTTGCATTCCTTAGGGTCTGGGAGTTGCTTTGGATGACAGGGTGGCAATAAAGTTGAGAGGGCAATTATTTGGTGAGGGAGTTTCTGTTCTTGGCATTGTACTAGAGTCTAATCTAAAAGAAAATATTAAATTCTCCCTAAGAGAAGTTGCACTGTCTCTGAACCATCTCATTTCTAACAGCATCATGTGTACCGGTTAAGAAGCATGGGCTCTGGAACCTGACTGCTGGGGATTCAATCGTAACTGTCAGCGTTTAGCTGTGAGCCCTTGGGCAAGTTACTTAACTTGTGCTTTGGTGTCATTTTCTGTAAAAGGATGATGATAACAATGGTGTCCCCCTTACCACTCTACACCCACCATGTTGCCAACATTTGAAAGTCAAATAAGTATTAGCGAGGATAAAGGAAAATGTGAACTGTAATATCTTGGTCTGTTGGTGGGAATGTAAACTGTTTATGATGCCCGAATTACAGAAATTATGAACTAGTTGAGTGAAAAAGTTAATATAGGAAATAAGGCAGCATATCCTCATGCTGTGAAGCTTAAATAAGTTAATACCTACAGAATGCTTAAAATAGTGTTTGGCACATAGAAAATGTGCTGAATAACCTAACCTTATCATTATTGGTCTTGATCTTCAGAGGAGAACTTAGTTGCCTCGTAGACTTCTTTCTCTTTTCTGAAATATACCTCAATACTAGCTTCAAGTATTGTATTTTCTCCATTTTAGATGTTTTTCTTTTTATTCTCATGTTAGTAATTCTAGATGTGGTGCTTTCTAGTTCTTCCTAATTTCTCTGTCTCTCTGTTTTCCAACTTATCTAGATATTTCCTGTCAGGCAAGACTTAAAAGTGCTTTATTATGCTGTGTGACTTTAGACAAGTCACTTCCCCTCTCTGGGCCTCAAAGTCTTCATCTGTAAAATGATGGGCTTAGATTAGATGCTCTCTGATGAAACCTTCTATGATACTGTTACTTAAGTACTCTAGAAGCACTCAGTATCCTCTCTAGTCTGGTGCCCCTTTTCTAATAAAAAATATTACTCACTATTCCCAGCAGGAATGCTATTCTTGAATAAATCTTTTTTCCTCACTCTTCCTTGAGGTATTATATCTGGTTTTGGTTTAGGGCATTTGCCCAGGCTCTTTCCTCTCACAAGAATGCTTTCTTTATTCTGCTCATCTTGTTCCTGTCTTAACCCACTCCATAGGTCCAACTCCAGTTCAACTTATTCCATGAACCTGCCCCTAATTTCTCTTTATTGAAATCTTCCAAGACTTAAAGCACTCAACCTAAGGATTGGGATATGCCGCTTTATTTCCTATGTTAATTTTTTCGCCCAACTAGTTTATAATTTCTATAATTCAGGGATCATAAACAGTTTACACTCCCATCAACAGAGCAAGATAGTTCACATTTCCCTTTATGCTCATTAATGCTTGTAATTATTTGACTTTCAAATGTTGGCAACATGGTGGGTGTAGAGTGGTATTTTGTTGTTTTAATTTGCTTTTCTCTCATTACTAATCAGTATCATATTGTTTGATTATTTTGGCTTTTTAATATGTGTTACTATTTAGTAGAACTAGTCTCCATTCCTTCACCACCTTCCCAAAAAATTTATTTTCCTTTTCTTTATCAAAATATTCTAAGATACTCTTGGACTTTATTTCCATGTACATTCTATAATCAGTTTGTTAAATTCTCCTGAAATCCTACTGTTACTTTAATTGGGGTAGCATTTAGGTTAGAGATGTGGGGAGAGGTTGTCATTATGTTAGCATGGCCTATCCATGAATATGGTATATCTCTACACCTCTCAGGTCTTTGTGCACTTCAATAAAGTTTTCTTTTTTCTTAAAATTCTTATATTTGATATGTTAATTCATAAATATGCTATGGTTTTTATTGTTATTATAAATAGTAGGCAATTTTCAGTTATTTTCCAATTGATTATTGGCAATACAGGATTTAAAGTAATAAATCCTGAGTTCAAGTAATGGTTTTATTACTTAGTATCTGGGTAAATCTGGGCAACCACTTAACCTCCCTCTGCCTCCATTTTCTCGTGGGTAAGATGAAGATAGCATTCTTCAATAGTTGTGGTGGCAAAAAATAAAATTAAAAAAGGAAAAATAGTTGTGGCAAATCAGATAGACTATCCCTAGTAGTTCAAATAATTTGACTGTAGGTTGGAAGGATGGTGAACTGACTACAGAAACTATAATCCAAAGGTCAGGGTCTAGAGCAGTGAATCCTGACAGGGTAGGAGGGTGTGTGTGTGGGCGGAGGTGAGGTAAGGGGTAGATGGCAGGGGTGGGGTGGGGATTGGACAGATTGGGCAAGTAATATAATCTTGGCAGGATGTAGGTGTGTGTAGTTTTGAAAAGACACTGAAGTCACGAATGTGGTCTTATGCTATGAGGCGTGATTAACTGGTTGAGCAATTTTGTGTTTATAAAATGGAGACTTCAGTTAAAACCGTCTGCCCCAAGAACCTGCGAACTGACATGGAGCAACTTTAGGAAGTGCCTAGAAGAGATTTATTATTATGGCCATACTCTCAGAAAAAAACAAGAAATCACATTTGTGACTTCCTCCAACGTGCAGTGCCAGTGACGTTATTGTAGCTTGTCTTTGTTTTAGCTAACCCAGGCTCTCGTAGGACACCTCCTCCCTGATGGCACCTCACAGCATTGTCAAGCTTGTGGAGCTATACACCAGACCTACAATGCCAACTGCCTTCCTCCTCTCCAACACAAATCCAGCCCAGTATTCAAGGCTCATTCCAGGCCCTCTCGACTGAGAGTACTCCCTGTCTACCATGTCCATGGTGATTTCTCTCTTCTCTTTTAAGACCACTGGCCTTATTGCTTACTTACTTTAATATAAACTATTTAAAGTGTTTGTTCTCACTCCCCAATTGACGTACAAGCAAAGCGATATGGGGGCAGAATCCATATCTTCTCACTCTGTATTTTCCCAGTAATGCTTTGCACACAAACCCTGGGACTAGTTTACTGCAGGCATGTGGTGGTCAGGCTAAGGGCAGAGGCAATGGGAAAGGAGAGGACTCACTCTTTGGGTGGTTGTGTAGAGGCAATAAAAGAAAGGCAACATGTGGGAACCTGGTTGGGGCTCCATACCTCTTCGGTCCCGGTGCTATATCAATAATTAACAAATAAGTAACAATGGACAGAGCAACTGAAATGTTATTTTGAATTGGCTAGAGGTGGAAAGACAGAGCTATATCTGTAAAAATGGAAGGGTTGGGAGGAGGAGAGGAAGGAAAACACTGCTGAGCACAGGTGTCTGGGTTTTCTGTCCTTCTTTATTCTAAAAAGCTCCCTCAGTGTTTGAATTAATAGAGAAGTGAAATCCTCTCCTACCATTTCCTGTTGTGGCCTCACAGAAGGTTTCACATCTCCTTTGACTGCCGGAGCAGAGATCTAGACATAAGAGGGAACTACATTCAGCCCCACTGTTACTGGCTAGGGCCATGTTCAGTGCTGGCACAGGACCACACAGCCAGTGCTCCCTTGCCAGGGCTAGGCTTTGTAGACATTGAAAAGGATCCCAGGACTTGGTTCCTATAAGGTTAGGCTAACAGCTTACCTGGGCAGGATGGGGAGGAATGTGAGGGGGAAATGTATTGGGGGGGTGTGGGGGAAAATTCAGTTTTGAAACTTGTCAAAAGAGAAAGTGGAAGGGACGGTGGTTCTCAGAGCAGAAGGAACTCTGAGGACAGGAAAGATAAGACTTGGGTGAATTGGGTTATGGATTGTGACTCTTCTCTTTCTCTCTTTCTCAGCGGAGGCCTCACTAACTCCCTTTATTTGAGCCATCCCAGTTCCAAGATGTAGTGAGTGTGTGGGCATGCTCAAGAGAGTGTGTATGTGTGTGTGTGTGTACACATGTGCATGTGTAACAGCTGTATAAGAAGAGGAGTTACAGCCTTTAGACCTTGGGTGTGAATCTTTGGACCTGTTTTCCAACCTGGGAAATGAGGACAATTAACAAGTTTTTTTTTTTTTTTTTTTTTTTTTTGAGACAGTCTCATTCTGTCACCCAGGCTGGAGTGCAGTGGCACGATCTCGGCTCACTGCAACCTCCACCTCCCAGGTTCAATCGATTCTCCTGCCTCAGCCTCCAGAGTAGCTGGGATTACAGGCACGCGCCACCACACCCAGCTAATTTTTGTATTTTTTGTAGAGACGGGGTTTCACCATGTTTGCCAGGCTGGTCTCAAACTCCTGACCTCAGGTGATATGCCTTCCTCAGCCTCCCAAAGTGCTGGGATTACAAGCGTGAGCCACCATGCCCGGCCAACAAGTCTTTTAAGATGAGATGAGATATTATAGAAAGGACCTACCTAGCACTGTATCTGTAGAAGCTCTACAGATTATGCACTCCCCACCCCATATTCTGCCCATTCCAACACACTTGACAGTTCGTTAGCAGAGTTAGAGTATATAAGCAAGGTGAGTGGGGGCAGTGGCTGGGAGCTATGGCAGAGCTTCAGTTAATCTCAATTAGTTACACAACGAATCTTTCGTTTTTGGTAATAATCTTTGTATGCATTTTTTATCCCCATTTTCTTCATAAGTGTTAGATTTTCCTGAGATCAGGGACTTTGAGGGAGGGCAGGTAAGTGTGGTGTCAAGGGGCCCCTTCCACAATCCTCTTTTGTTTAGCTCACTATTTAATAAAATCCAAGAGTTCTCAGAAACTAAGATGTGAAGAGGCAGCCCTGAAACCTACTGGGGAGCAGAAGGAAGCCAATTTAGAGTTTCAAGTTAGTGATGGAAAATCCATCAACTGTATAGTTCACAATGGGATAGAAGAATGAATTGCCGTTTAAAATCTGCTTTTTCAGGCCAGGCACGATGGCTCATGCCTGTAATCCTAGCACTTTAGGAGGCTGAGGTGGGTGGATCACTTGAGGTCAGGAGTTCAAGAACAGCCTGGCCAACATGATGAAACCCTGTCTCTACCAAAAAAAAAAAAAAGACAAAAACTAACCAGGAGTGGTGGCACATGACTGTAACCCCAGCTACTCAAGTGGCTGAGGCATGAGAGTCATTTGAACCCAGGAGGCGAAGATTGCAGTGAGCCGAGATTATCCCACTGTACTCCAGCCTAGGCGACAGAGTGAGACTTTCAAAAAAAAAACCTGTGAAAAAAATAAATACGCAAATACATAAAATCTGCCTTTTCAAGACACACACGTGACCAAGAAGCATATGAAAAAATGTTCAACATTACTAATGATTAGAAAAATGCAAATCAAAATCATAATGAGATACCGTCTCACACCAGTCAGAATGGCTATTATTAAAAAGTCAAAAAATAACAAATGTTGGAGAGGTTGCAGAGAAAACGGAAGGCTTATACACTGCTGGTGGGAACATAAATTAGTTCAGCCATTGAGGAAAGCAGTTTGGCAATTTCTCAAGAACCTTAAAACAGAGCTACCATTCGTCCCAGGAATCCCATTATTAGGCATATACCCAAAGGAGTATACATTGTTCTACCATAAGGACACATGCACATGAATGCTCACTGCAGCAGTATTCATAATAGCAAAGACATGGAATCAGCCTAAATGCCCACCAACAGTAGACTGTATAAAGAAAATGTGGTACATATACACCATGGAATACTCCACAGACAAAAAAGGACGAGATCACGTCTTTTGCAGCATCATGGATGGAGCTGGGGGCTGTTATCCTAGGCAAACTAACACAGGAGCAGAAAATGAAATACTGCATGTTCTCACTTTTATAAGTGGGAGCTAAACATTGAGTACACATGGACACAAAAAAGGGAATAATAGACACTGGGCCCTACTTGAGGGTGGAGGATGGGAGGAGGGAGAGGATCAAAACACTACCTATCAGATACTATACTTATTACCTGGGTGATGAAATAAATTTTTACGCCAAATCCCGATGACACACAATTTACCTATATAACAAACCTGCATGTGTACCCTTGAACCTAAAACAAAGGTTAAAATAATTTAAAATAAATAAAAAATAAAATCTTACTTGGTATTCTCAAAAAATAAAAAACAAAATCTGTCTTTTCAGGGGAAGAAAAGTAGGAAAGCTTTATCTCATTTTCCTAGTGGCTTCATAATGCAGGGACCTGCCCCCAGGGAACAGGGTATAGTAGGGGAAACACACAGGGGTGTTTGGAGTTTGGCGAAAGGCAGGTGAGCTCTGGGCACTGACCCGTCACCAGCTATTTTTCAAGGAGTCTGAGAGGTGTTAACCTGCGGTCTACCCCGTGAGATTGCTCAGAGTGTAGGAGGATATGGTTTACTAGCTCCGGAAAGCAGCTATTATAACTGAGGAGGAAATGAAGCTTGACTGGCTAGAACAGAAGCAACAATGGAGGCCCATGGAGGGATTTTCCAGGCCCCTATTCCTGATCTCCATGGTGGCGCTGCTTCCCTTATTCTGCAGTCTTGCTTTGAGACCAGACAATTCTGTACTCTGTCTGTGCCTTCTTCCTTCTCAGCAGCCCTGCCTCTGCCACCTGCCCCAGAAGGGCTCTGGGTCCTCTCATCTCAGGACAGACAAGGGTTTTTGTAATTATCTTCTTGGGTAACCTCCCTGTAAGGAATAGGAGAGGTTATCTGGTCCTGGTCTTTTGGGAGAGCATTGAGAAGAAAAAGTTAAACCAGTGGGCAGCCCAGGCTGCATACATCCTGGGAATATTGCGATTATTCTCTCCAGTAATCTACGGAAATCTACTGGTTGTTCTGCAGAAAAAGAATTAAGAGAGACAAGGAGACCTGTTGTCTAAGACTAAGGCAGGATGACGTTTACCTAGTAACTGATGATGCTAGGCTGAGGCACTCAGTGATTTGTCTCTACATTTGTCCCTGCCTACCTAGCCAATCTGTCCCTGTTTGGGACACTGGACTCCCGTGAGCTGGAAGGAACAGATTTAATATCTAGGGGCTGGGTATCCCCACATCACTCATTTGGGGGGTCAAGGGACCCGGGCAATATAGTATTCTGCTCAGTGTCTGGAGATCATCTACCCAGGCTGGGGCTTCTGGGACAGGCGAGGACCCACGGACCCTGGAAGAGCTGGTCCAGGGGACTGAACTCCCGGCATCTTTACAGAGCAGAGCATGATCACATTCCTGCCGCTGCTGCTGGGGCTCAGCCTGGGCTGCACAGGAGCAGGTAAGGACACTTCTTCTGGGGACTCTCCCTTCCCCTGCTCCTGTTTCAGGGTAAGGGTGTTCCGTTTTGTAATTGCATTTGACACCCCAGATAGTTTGTCTCCCTGGTATACATTCCTATAGCACTTTGTACTTTGTAGCAATTTTAATGTAATTAATCTGTATAATTATCTGTGCAGTGTATATTCCCTGCTGGAATATAGGCAAGGACAATGTTCATCTTATTTATTGCTGCCTCCTCAGCTCCTAGCACAGTGCCTTGCATGCAGCAAGTGCTTCATAAATATGTGCGAAGTGAATATTTAATATTTCCAGCACAATACAAGGCTGACTCTTTCTCTTGACCCTTTTTCTCTCTCAATAATTTGCCTTACTGAAGGTCTGTGTTCTGGGCAAATTGTCATGTTTAAACATGCAAATAATCTCGGGGGGCTACTCCTATCCCTGTGCTTAGTCTTGCATAAAGAGGAGACTGGATCTAAAAACTTATCTACTACTTCTACTGACTCCCTCAAATCAGACTTTCAGAAACTTCAGTGTATGAGCTTGGTCAGTAGATGTTCCCTGAGCAGGAAATCTGTGCCAGACTAGCTGGATGTCACCAAGGCTTAGGTTCTGAGCTGAATATAGGAAAAATCAACTTTTTTTCTTCTATATGCTCACACTCAACACTTCTTTGACCAACTGTGTGAGGTTTTTTTTTTTTTTTTACTCATACCAACCAATTCTCCTATATTAGCTGGATATCCTATAATTCAATTCCATTGTGACATTAACTAGAGTTAACATAGACACCAAAGGTTAAAGACTCAGTCCCATAAGACTGCCTCCATTTCAGACACCAATCACAAGTAGTAGGTTCCCAAATTACCCACATCTTCTGTCCAACTTGCCTACAAATCAGAGGTTCCCATGACCCCCTCCTTGGGGTTGGTAATTTGCTAAAGTGGCTTATGGAACTCAGGAAAAGTTTACTTATTATTGTAGATTTTTTACAAAGGATATTTTAATTGATAATAATAATTATAAATATTCATGGGGTGGATAATGATGTTTTAGTACATGTAATGTACAGTGATCAGATCAGATCATCATCTCATTTATCATTTCTTTGTGTTGGAAACATTCCATATCCTTCTTCTAGCGATTTGAAATGATATAAAGTATTATTGTTAATGACAGTCATCCCACAGTGGTATAGAACACTAGATCATAATTTTGCATCCTTTAACAAAGGATATTTTAAAGCATACAAAGGAACATCCAGATGAAGAGATACCAGATCTGGAAGGGTCCCAATCACAGGAGCTCTGTCCCCACAGAATTGGGGTACTTCACCTCCTGGCATGTGGATGTGTTTACCAACTGAGAAGTTCTCTGAACTCCATAGTTCCGGGATTTTTATGGAGGCTTCATCATGTAGGCATGACTGATTATTAACTCAATCTCCAGCCCCTTCCCCTTCAGGGAGTATGGGGGATGGGACTAAAAGTTCCAGACTTCTAATCATGACTTGGTCTTTCTGGTGACCAGCCCCTCCTGCAGGAGCCCACCAAGAGTACCTCATTAGAACAAAAGACACTCCTGTTATCTAGGAAATTCTAAGCGATTAGGCACTCTATGTCAGGAACCAGGGTCAAAGACAAAGCTCTGTGCAGAGCTCCTAAATATACGTCTGTATGTTTTATATATTTATTATTTGTGTATATTTATTATTTATATATTTATTTATTTATTGCCAGGCCAGTAGAAGACATTGACCTGTTCTCCCTTCCCTGGCTCCTCTAGGTGGCTTCGTGGCCCATGTGGAAAGCACCTGTCTGTTGGATGATGCTGGGACTCCAAAGGATTTCACATACTGCATCTCCTTCAACAAGGATCTGCTGACCTGCTGGGATCCAGAGGAGAATAAGATGGCCCCTTGCGAATTTGGGGTGCTGAATAGCTTGGCGAATGTCCTCTCACAGCACCTCAACCAAAAAGACACCCTGATGCAGCGCTTGCGCAATGGGCTTCAGAATTGTGCCACACACACCCAGCCCTTCTGGGGATCACTGACCAACAGGACACGTGAGGAGAGAGGGGTGCAGAGGGGCTACCAGGAAGTGCAGTTAGGAGGGCAGGCCAGGGAGGATCCCACAGTGGCCCAGGGGTTTGAGATTTGAGCAGCAAATAAGAGAAAATGTGTGGATCTGAAATGTAGAAAGACGGAGGATTGAACCTCAAGGGGAACAAGGTGGCTGACGTGAGTGGAACAGGAGTAAAGAAGGGGAGGTGAGGCTTGAACCGCGAGGTGCCATGTGGGGAGCTTATGCAGAGGCTGGGGCATCTCAGGATGCATACCCAAGATGTTCTTGCCTTGTTATCCCAGATTTTGATGTTCCAGATCTGATGTGGGCCCAGGCATGGGAATATTTGGAATCCCAGGGGATTCTGACACATGCTTTTTCTCACCCTTAAACTCTTGCATTGACAATGGCTTGAAGTTTGTGAAAGTAAACTTGAAGATCTCCACAGTACAGAACAGTGTGTCTCAAGGGTGGTTTCTGAACCACCTTTCTCAGAATTGCCTGGAGGAGGTGCTTGTTAAAGATGCAAGCCCCTTAGTACCACTCCAGATCTGTTGAAAGAAAGTATCTGGGGATACAGCCTAGGAAATCTGCATTTTAACATAATTCCTTGGATTTTTATTTAAGATTGTGTTTGAAAAATGTCAAGATAGAGGCAAGCAAGAGGATCACCTAGGAGAGTAAATTAGTAAAAGATGGCAGTATTAGCAATCTCATTAGTTTGACTACATTCATTCCAAATTTAAGAGTGAGTCCTAAGTTAGGCTTGTTTCCTTGAACTATGTGAGGAGAAAAAGCTTTAACTAGCAAAAGAACGTATTAAACAAGATTTGGAGAAAAATTCCTTTTCCACCTTAAAAAAACCCAATGTACAACTCTGGATTACTCTTAGCTTCCTTATTTCAAATACTTTCCAGTTTATGTACTTGAAATAAATACAACAACTTCTAGAACAGCTTGCAGTTCAGATCTGGCTTTTACTAATTGTAATCAAACATAATTCTGGAGGAGGAAAGAAAGAAAGGGGCAATGAAGGAATGGGAGAGAAGAAAGAGTAATGCAGGAATACATTCTAACGGTTCCCCTTCAAGGGGCAGCATGGCAGAGGGGGCTGGGGTGGAAAGTGGGTTGCAAAATCTACGAAGAGTTGCGATAGGGAAGAAACCAGGTTGAGGAAGCAGCCAGAATGTCACCCTCCTTCCTAAACATGTTTTTTTCTCCTATGCAGGGCCACCATCTGTGCAAGTAGCCAAAACCACTCCTTTTAACACGAGGGAGCCTGTGATGCTGGCCTGCTATGTGTGGGGCTTCTATCCAGCAGAAGTGACTATCACGTGGAGGAAGAACGGGAAGCTTGTCATGCCTCACAGCAGTGCGCACAAGACTGCCCAGCCCAATGGAGACTGGACATACCAGACCCTCTCCCATTTAGCCTTAACCCCCTCTTACGGGGACACTTACACCTGTGTGGTAGAGCACACTGGGGCTCCTGAGCCCATCCTTCGGGACTGGAGTAAGTGTATGGCAGATGGATGGAATTAGGGTCAAAGCAGAGAAAATGAGATGTGGATCGATACATGGTACATGGTAGACAGCGAAGTGCTGAAAATGGGGACTGAGTCTGGAGGAACTTACGGGGGGCTTAGGACCAGAATGGGGAAATGGGATAAAGAAATGGAAATATTTAGGTTGGTGCAAAAGTAATTGCAGTTTTTGCCATTACTTTCAGTGGCAAAAACCGCAATTACTTTTGCACCAGTTTAATATTTAGTCTGTGCTATTGCTGCTCTGGTGGTGTGGCTGATGTTGCTGCGTCTATGTTTGAGGGTGAGAGGGGAGCGTGCTTGCTTTGAAATGAGGCTGTAAATTTGGCAATCATATTTTCAGAACCCCAAATTGTAATACACTATTCTAGCCTCCTTAGATTTCAACTATTCTGGTGCCAGAAGCAGATGGGAGCTGAAGGAATGATGAAGGTTGAAGAAGGGGGGCTTTTCTTGGTGTGGGGCAGTACTGCATTTGGCCTGCTCTACCAAGCATACGGGAGTAGTAAAGCCACGGCTGGCAGACCATTTGGCATGCATGCTCAGGGGCCAGTGGATAAAGAATTACTTACAGTTCAAACACTGTTTGAACTCAGTGTCGGGAGTAGTTAAAGGTATCGTGAGAAGTTGCACACAGCTTTGGGGACTCTTGGAAAAGAAAGAGGAAGAAATGAGGAAGAGGAAGGGTGTCTACAAAGGGCCAGAGAACAGGATCTCAGATCAGCTGCTGTAACCAGGTTTCCCCTTGTGGGAAGTGTTGTTTCTTGCTGGGCAGTTGGGAAGGGAATGGAGAACAGAGAAGAGAGTGGAAATCACATGCTCACTTGAACTTTCCTGGGGAACGTCTCCTCACAGCGTGCACAAGAGCCTCCCTTTGGAAATGGAGTGTTCATTTTATCATGGGAAAAGAATCTGAGTGGGACATGATTCAGAACAGGACCGGCCCAAGGAAGTGCAGGGGCTGTGGAGTGGGATGGAGACAAGCTCTGAAAGGACACATGGGAGATCTAGATGTAGAAGGTACACAAGTAGTAGGATAACTCACAGGATGGATCCACTGGAGGTTAAGACATGTGGTAAGACAGTGTAATAGGAAGCTGCTCAGTTGGAGAAAGTAAGGAAGCAAACATTGTTACCGTGGGGGCAATGGAGAGGACAGTGAGGAGCCCTTTATCCTGATAAGGGTGGCTTTGGGGTAAAGGAAGGAAAGAGGATGCCTTGAGAGGCCCCACTGTATTAGAGAGGACCTGGAAGCCAGGATGCTAATTCTGGGGAGATGGGTTCCCCAGGCTTACTCTAGGAGTAGAGGTCCATGGGACGAGGGTTTGATTTGAGAAAGATCATTTTCTTGGGAGTGGGTGGTGTGAGCTAGACCCTTGGAGCTGGGATAAAGGACCTTTTAACCCACTGAGAGGTGGCTGCAATAAATGGAATTGCCCTGGGGGTGAGCAACAGAAACTGGGTCAAGTAAGTTTCTATTTTTTGCAGCACCTGGGCTGTCCCCCATGCAGACCCTGAAGGTTTCTGTGTCTGCAGTGACTCTGGGCCTGGGCCTCATCATCTTCTCTCTTGGTGTGATCAGCTGGCGGAGAGCTGGCCACTCTAGTGAGTGACTCGCTGAACTCCCATCCCCACTCTTGGTCCCACTCTCTGCTTACTTTCTGTTTGTGATTAACTCTCTCCTTCCTACTGCATTTGCTATGAATACTGCTAGATATTTTCATCCACAAAGACTGGTATAATCAAGTATCTTCCTCTCTTAGGTTACACTCCTCTTCCTGGGTCCAATTATTCAGAAGGTAACATCTCTGTTGGTCTGTTTCCCTACTTGCCCTTTGGTAGGGGTGCGGGTTAGAGGGGTCAGTGTTGGGTTCAACTAATCTTGATTATTATATGGGTGAGCTTCCATGAGGATCTAGGCAAGGGCATGATTTAAGCTGCCATTGCTAGGATTAAGAGCAGGAAGGAGCATCCTCCTCTTCTACCAAGTGGGATGTCTGTGGAGAGGAGGCTGAAGGTGCTTCCTTTGTATTAGTTGTTGGTGCCCTGGAGTTTTCAGTATCACTGTATTAAGGCATGGGATGGTTACAGTGACAAACGATGGGGGCAAGTTGGGTTGAAGCCTCATTATCTCCCTTTTATTTATTCTGTAGGATGGCACATTTCCTAGAGGCAGAATCCTACAACTTCCACTCCAAGTGAGAAGGAGATTCAAACTCAATGATGCTACCATGCCTCTCCAACATCTTCAACCCCCTGACATTATCTTGGATCCTATGGTTTCTCCATCCAATTCTTTGAATTTCCCAGTCTCCCCTATGTAAAACTTAGCAACTTGGGGGACCTCATTCCTGGGACTATGCTGTAACCAAATTATTGTCCAAGGCTATATTTCTGGGATGAATATAATCTGAGGAAGGGAGTTAAAGACCCTCCTGGGGCTCTCAGTGTGCCATAGAGGACAGCAACTGGTGATTGTTTCAGAGAAATAAACTTTGGTGGAAATATTGTTTTTCCATGTCTTCTTCCTGGGGCCCTGGGGAAGGAATATGGGCAAAGCAGGGACTGAGGTTAATTCTCTTCTGCTTGAGTAGGGGAGAAATCAATGCCTTCTTCCATTTTCCCACTTAGACATGACAGAATTTGGGGCCGTTTTCTGATTTATAATTCATAAGGAGAAATTCAACTGTGGTGGGTTGGAGTCACAGAGTATGGGCAAGGAAGGGAATTAACAGCTTACTCACCTCATACAGGATCTTATGAGGATTAAATGAGTTCATACTTGTAAATGGCTAAGAACACCGCCAGGCACATAGCCAGCCTGCAATAGTGACGTTAGCTATATTCGATTATTCAACTTTCTGGCCAGGCATTGTACCAGGTGCTTTGATCCTCATCACAACCGTAAGGCAGACCTCTCATACCCCTCAGGATTCAGGGGACAGAGCTTAACTCCAGATTGAGTTCTAGACAGTTATTTCTTCCATACCCTGAATGCAGAAGGGAACATAGCTTGAGTGATTATTATGTCTTAGGCACTGGTCTCAGACCTTTATATTTGTAGCTCATTCTCTTCTCACAATAACCACACAAGGGACAGATTGTTTCCCTCTATGTTACAGACAAAAGATGTGAGGCTCAGAGACATTTAAGTGACTTGTCCAAGGTCAAAGAACAGATTTCTGTAGGATGTTTGTCTACCTGAGCTGGAAGTAGCAGATTACTTTATTCTGAAGACCCTCATGCTGGTGAGCACACATCTCTTCAGAGCCACCGTTCCATTCCCTTCTACCCCAAGACCAAGGAGAGCCCTTTGGGGGAATGGACTCCACCCTAAGGAAGAGAGGATGCTGGCTGGTGGTTTGTTGTCCCACGAAGGGCGACACCTGCTGGACACAGAAACCTAGGGTGTGGAATTGTTTTTGGAATTAGAGCTAGATACTAGAATATGGGTAAGAAAAAGAAACCAAGAAATGAGTTGATTTGGAACACCTCCATAATTTCTTCAGAAGCATCCTTGGAATTAGAGCATCTCTTCTGGAAGGGGTTAACAGAAGAAGTCAGTGGAAGGAACTTAATCTCTACATTTTACCATTTTTATGTTTCATTTTCATTTTTTTCTATTCACTGTTTTTGTTTTTATTTTTGTTTGTTTGACAAAGCAAATTCCTTTTGAAATTCTAGTTTAGTCTAGGAATGGGGGGCTTTGGGCCTTGTCTATATCTGGGCAGTTTTATTTATTATTTTTATTTTATTTATTTATTTTTTTTCGAGACAGAGTTTTGCTCTTGTTGCCCAGGCTGGAGTGCAATGGCGTGATCTCGGCTTATTGCAACTTCTGCCTCCCATGTTCAAGCGATTCTCCTGCCTCAGCCTCCCAAGTAGCTGAGATTACAGGCGTGCACCACCATGCCTGGCTAATTTTGTATTTTCTTAGTAGGGATGGGGTTTCACCATGTTGGTCAGGCTGGTCTCGATCTCCTGACCTCAAGTGATCCACCTGCCTCAGCCTCCCAAAGTGCTGGGATTACAGGCGTGAGCCACCGCACTAGGCCTATCTGGACAGTTTTAAAGGAGAAGCTGCAGATCTGAAGGGTCTAGTTCTAGTCACAGCAGTGGGAATCAAAGTGGCAGGATCCCAGAGAAAGGAAGTAGAGAGTTAGCTAATGGGACGGCTTCCAGTTCCTTTTCTAGAGATTCCCAGTGCAGGCTTTTCTCTGCCCTAACTTTGTAGGTTTTTTGTTTTATAGGAAAGGCTGTCCCCTTCCAGGTAAGGAATAGGGAAAAGTATATGTAGGTCTGCTAGGATCCAGAAAGTCAGAATACTATAGGTAGAAAGGGGAGTTCTTACACAGGGGAATGAGTGGTACTTGAAAGGAAGGTGGAAGAAGGGTGATGGTGCACCAATTGTAGGAGGATGAGGAGAAGAGAATGGATGCTGCATGAGGAGAATGGAATGTAAACATAATGGATTGCCAAAAAAGGAGTGCGTGTGTGTGTGTGTGTGTGTGTGCACTTGAGCACATGTGAGAGAAAGAGAGGAAAAAAAGAGAAGGAGTGGAAGAGAGTAAGAGAGAGGGAGCAAAAGGGTGAGAGGAGAGAAGTGGAGTGGGAGAAAGAAGGAGAGGGACATAGAGAGAGGGAGGGAGGGGAGCGGGGGAAGAGAGAGAGAGCTGGACTTTCGGGTTATACATAATCCAAGCTGCACAAAGAATTGTTTTCGCCCTTCAATGTCTTGTTGTTTTAAAAGCTGAACTTGGAGCTAGAATTGGTTTTAAAGGTCATCTAGTCCACCTCCCCTCCCATGAAAGAACTGGGCCTGTGTTAACAAGGGCACACACAGTGCAGGGAGTTCCTTCAACACTTGGGGCAGATAACAATATTTTAGAGAAACGCGTTGACCCCACATTTGAGCTTCTTCTTTTGACCATTAAAGACAATGAGAATAAATCTCAAATACACCACGGGAGGTGGTATCCTTGGCATTTTTTTTTTCCCTGAGGGAGAGCATGTTCCTAGGTTCCAGGTTCTCTTTGCCTCCCTACCCACGAACACATGCATGTGAAAGAAACAGACAAGATTGACATTTAATCCCAATGTCTATTTATGAAAATTATCTTTAGGCCATTTTCTCAAGTTTTTCTCTTTCCAAAGTAAAATTGGGCAAATCAGATGAAAAACGAGGGTGGAGTTCAACCCCATCCTCAAATCCTTTTTTTTTTTTGGCTTGAGTGTCTGTCATTCCCAAGAGCCCTCCAACTGCCTTGAAGCAAGGCATGGGGGATTTCTCCGTGGTGCTTCCTGCCACTACTTGGCCAGACCAGTCTCCAGGGGTTTCAGAGAGTGGAGAGGCCCCAAACCTATAGAGACTACTCCCAGATGGGGGGCTCCTTGTTTCTCCAGACCCTTCCTCTTCCATTTCATATGAGGCTTCCAAGAGGCCCCTGGCCGTGCTGGTCTGGGGCAGGGAATAAAGAAATGGCTTTTATTGTATCAGAGTCTCAACAGAAAACAGATGGCATACTCGAAATAGGACATTTCAAGGAAAGTTTATTTATTAGCAAAGTATTTACAAAGAACTGGGTGGAGGATAGCTGTTACTACCCCAAGGTCCAAAGAGGCCAGGGACAGAAGGGGTTATCAGGACTCAGAAGGACAGCAAGCCCTGTACAGTCACCACCTTGCCAAGGGCAGTGCCCTTCAGTCAAGGGACACAACAGCTTAAGGTGACCTTGTAGGGAGGAAGCCAAGGGATTAGAAACACTGACCTCACTCCCCTCTTCCCTCTGCTCTTAGGCTGATGCTGGAAGCAAGAAGAAGCCAGGGAGCATGGGAGCCATTCAATGTCATGCAGGTCAGCACCTGAGGCAGACCCCAGGTGCAGAAGTATTGAGAGTGGGTCCAGAAGGACAGATGGAGGACAGGAAGTACATTCACAACAAGAAGGAAAAACGTCAATGTTGTGGGGTGGAGAGAGAGGTGCAAAATCTGGGCTTCTTTTGGCCTTGGACAATGACAAGCGCATAGTAGCAACAGAAACTAAGTTTGTAGTTTCCTACTGGGGAGTTTGGGAGGACACTCACTTCTAGTTCTGTCTTCCCCACTTGAATTTTGATTGTGGTTATACTGAATTTATAGAAATTTGGGGTTAACTGACTTGTTTTTATTACTAAATCATACCATGCAAAAACAGGATGTTTTCTCATTTATTGAAATCATTTTGTTTGCTCTTTATTATGGTTTTTAAACTTTACTTTTTCATAGTAGTCCTGAGTATGCTCAGTTAATTCTTAGGCATGTTGTAGCTTTTGCTGCTATTGTGATTGGTATCTTATTGCAATTCTACTTTTGAATCAGTAATTTCTGATGTAGAAGAATGTATCTAATTTAAAAAATTGTGGTTAAAAAAATAACATTTACCGTCTTAACCACTTTGAAGTGTACAGCTCAGCAGTGTTAAGTATATTCACATTTTTGTGCAACCAATCTCCAGAACTCCTTTTCACCTTGCAAAACCAGAACTCTACACCCATTAAACAACAACTCCTCATTTCTCTCTTCCTCTAGCCCCTGGCTACTATCACTCTACATTCTGTTTCTATGAATCTGACTACTTCAGATACCCTGTACAAGTGCAATCATGGAGTTTTTGTCTTTTGGCGATTGGCTTATTTCACTTAGCTTAATGTCCTTAAAATTCATACTTGTTGCAGCATGTAAGAGTGCTTTCTTCCTTTTTAGGCTGAATAATAAGCTACTGTATGTATATGCCATATTTTGTTTGCCCATTCATCTGTCTATGGACATCTTTGTTGCTTCCACCTCTTGGCTATCGAGAATAGTGCTGCTATGAATATGGGGGAAAATATCTGCTTAAGTCCCTGCTTTCAATTCTTTTGCATTTATACCCAGAAGTGGACTCTTGGGTCATATAGTAGTTTTACTACTGATTTTTTGAGGAACTGCCGTACTGTTTCCCATAGCAGTTACACATTTTACAATCCCACGAACATTGCATATAAAGGTTCTAATGTCTCTACATCCTCACCAACACTTATTTCTTCCCTCCCTCTCTCCCTTCCTTCCTTCCTTCCTTCTTTCCTTTCCTCCTTCATTTGCTCCCTCCTTCATTCCCTCCCTTCTTTCCTTTTTCCTTTCATTTTTATAGTAGCCATGCTAATGAGAATTAGATGATGTTATGGTTTTAATTTGCACTTCTCTAATAATAAGTAATGCTGAGCATCTTTTCATATGTGTGTTTGCCACTTGTATATCATCTTTGGAAAAATGTCTGTTGAAGTTTGTTGCCCCCTTTTTAACTGTTTGTATAAACAATTATTGTTGGGTTTTATGAGTTCTTTACATATTCTGAATATTAACCCTTTATTGGATATATGATATTCAAATACTGATATATGATTTTCAAATATTAGAAATTAATAATTTTTGTAAGTTGATCTTATATGGGACAACCTTGCTCGATCCTCTTATTGGTTTTAGTGGGGTTTTTGTTGTTGTTGTTGTCATTGTTGTTATTGATATTCTCTCTGTCTCTCTCTTTTTCCAGGTAGATAATAGTATCATCTGCGAGCATTGTTTTGTGTTTTCCCTCTTAATCCTTAGTGTTTTATTTTTCATGTTGTTGACTAGGATCTTCAATGCTGTGTCAAACAGTAGGGTGATAATGAGCATTACTCTTAAAGGAAATAAACCTAAATATTCTCCATTAAGTATAAATTTTGCTGTATATTGTAGATTCACATGCAGTGGTAAGAAATAATAAAAACAATCCTGTGTATCCTTTACCCAGTTTCCCTTGATGGTAACATTTTGCAAAACTATGGTACAATATCACAATTAGGATACATGGATACAGCCACAATACAGAACACTTCTATGATCACAAGGATTCTTCACCTTGCCCTTTTCTAGACACACCCACTTCCCTACCATCCCATACCCTCCTTAATGTCTAGCAATCACTAATCTCTTATCCATTTCTATGACTTTGTCACTTCAAGACAAATTTTTTTTTGTCATTTTAAAACAAATGATTAATAAATGGAAACATATAGTATATACACTTTTGGGATTGACTTTTTTTTCTCTCAATGTATTTCTCTGGAGATCATACAAGGTTGTTGCATATATCAATAATTTATTATTGCCTAGTTGTATTATATGGTATGGGTATAGCACAGTTAGTTTAGCCATCTGTCCATCACATCTGGGTTGTTTCCAGATTTGGCTGATATGAATATAAGTTTTTGTGTGGACATAAGTCTTAATGTCTCTGGAGCAAATGCCCAGGAGTGTACCTGCTGAATTGTATGGTGGTTGCATTTTTAGTTTTTTAAATAAACTGTCAAAGTGTTTTCCAGAGTGGTTGCACCAGCAATGTGCGAGTGATTGTTTTACTGCATCCTCACAGGCATTTGGTATTGTCACTATTTTTTTTATTTTTTTTGAGATGGAGTCTTGCACTGTTGCCCAGGCTGGAGTGCAGTGGTGCGATCTTGGCTCACTGCAAGCTCCACCTCCCGGGTTCGCGCCATTCTCCTGCCTCAGCCTCCCAAGTAGCTGGGACTACAGGCGCCCGCCACCACGCCCGGCTAATTTTTTGTATTTTTAGTAGAGATGGGGTTTCACCATGTTAGCCAGGATGGTCTCAATCTCCTGTCCTCATGATCCGCCTGCCTCAGCCTCCCAAAGTTCTGGGATTACAGGCATGAGCCACTGCGCCTGGCTTATTGTCACTATTTTTTATTTCAGCCATTCTAATATGTGTGTAGTGAGATCTTATTGTGGTTTTAATTTGCGTTTCCTTAATGGCTAATGATATCGAACATCTTTTCATGTGCTTATTTGCCATCTGTATATCCTTTTAATGAAATGTCTCTTCATGAATTTTTCCCATTTTCTAATTAATTTTTTTCAAACTGTTGATTTTTTTTCTTTTTTTTTCTGAGATGGAGTCTTACTCTGTCACTCAGGCTAGAGTGCAGTGGCATGACCTCGGCTCACCCCAACCTCTACCTCCTGGGATTACAGGCGTGTGCCACAACGCCCAGCTAATTTTTAGTATTTTTAGTAGAGACAGAGTTTCACCATGTTGGCTAGGCTGGTCTCAAACTCCTGACCTCAAGTCATCCACTCGCCTCAGCCTCCCAAAGTGCTGGGATTACAGGCATGAGCCAGGGGGCCTGGCCTGAGTTTTGATAAGTTGTTATATATTCTAGATACTAGTCCTTTGTTGGATACATGATTTGCAAATATTTTCTTCCATTATGTAGCTTGCCTTTTCATTCCTTTACAAGTCTTTCACAGAGCAACAGTTTTTAGTTTTAATCAGGTCTAATATATCCATTTTTTCATTTTACAGATCATGTTTTTGGTGTCAAATCTAAGAACTTGTTGCCCAGATCTAGATTCAGAAGATTTTCCCCTATCTTATTCTAAAAGTTTTATAGTTTTACATTTTGCATAGAAGTTTGTAATCCATATTGAGTCAATTTTTGCAGAAGGTATGAGTCTTAGATTAAACTGCTGCTCCTCCTTCTTTTCCTCCTTGTTGTCTTTCTCTCCTCCTATGGCCCTTGAATGTTCAATTGTTCCAGCACCATTTATGTTTTTCCGATGTCTGCAGGGTGTGTAGGGATATTCCCTGTGGACATTTCTATATTCTTTCTTTCTTCTTTGTCAGTGTAGTCTGCTAGAGGTTCATCAGTTGACTGATCTTTTCAAAGAAGCAACTTTTTGTGTCTCACTCTGTGGCCCAGGCTGGAGTGCAGTGGTGCAATCTCACCTCACTACAACCTCCGCCTCCTGGGCTCAAGTGATTCTCCTGCCTCAACCTTCCAGGTAGCTGGGACTACAAGCGCCTGCCACCACATTTGGCTAATTTTTTGTAATTTTAGTAGAAGCAGAGATTCACCATGTTGGGCAGGCTGGTCTCTAACTCCTGAGCTCAAGTGATCCACCTGCCTTGGCCTCCCAAACTATTGGGATTACAGGCGTGAGCCACAGTGCTCGGCCTTCCTTTCTTCTTTGGATGTATTTTGATCTTCTTTTTCTGGGCTCTTGAGATGAGAGTTTGAATTATTAATTTGTGTACTTTTTTTTTTTTTTAAAGAGACAAGGTCTCCTTATGTTGCCCAGGCTGGCCTCGAACTACTGGGCTCAAGTGATCCTTTCCTGCCTCAGCCTCCCAAGTAGCACCCAGTTTTTCTTCTTTTTAATGTATGCATTTAATGCTATAAATTTCCCTTTCAGCACTGGTTTAGCTGTGTCCTATAATTTTTTTTATTATTTTGAAAATATTTCGTGGGTTCATGGTAGGTGTATATGTTTATGGGGTACATGAGATGTTTTGATACACGCCTGGAATGTGAAATAACCAAATCATGGAGAATGGGGTAGCCATTCCCTCAAGCATTTATCCTTTGAGTTACAAACAATTCAATTACATTCTTTAAGTAACTTAAAAATATACAATTAAGTTATTTTTGACTATAGTCACTCTATTGTGCTATCAAATAGTAGGTCATATTCATTCTTTCTACTTTTTTTGTACCCATTAACCATCCCCACCTCCCCGCTCAGCTATCCACTACTTTTCTCAGGCTCTGGTAACCATCCTTCTACTCACTATGTCCATTAGTTCAATTGTTTTGATTTTTAGATCCCACAAATAAATGAGAACATGTCATGTTTGTCTTTCTGTACCTGGCTTATTTCACTTAACATAATGATCTCCAGTTCCATCTATGTTGTTGCAAATAACTGGATATCATTCTTTTTTCTAGCTAAATAGTACTCCATTGTATGTATGTACCACATTTTCTTTATCCATTCATCTGTCGATAGACACTTAGGTTGCTCCGAAGTCTTAGCTATTGTAAACAATGCTGCAATTAACATAGGAGTGCAGATATCTCTTTGAAATACTAATTTTCTTTCTTTCGGGTATATTCCCAGCAGTGGGATTGCTGGATCATATGGTAGCTCAATTTTAATTTTTTTGGAGGAACTTCCAAGCTGTTCTCCATGGTGGTTGTACTAATTTATATTCCTGCCAACAGTGTACAAAGCCTTCTCCACATACTCACCAGTACTTGTTATTGCCTGTCTTTTGGATACAAGCCATTTTTTTTTGAGATGGAGTCTTACTCAGTTGCCCAGGCTGGAGTGCAGTGGCCCAATCTCTGCTCACTGCAACCTCCATCTCCCAGGGTCAAGCGATTCTTCTGCCTCAGCCTCCCAAGTAGTTGGGACTACAGGCATGGCCCACCATGCCCAGCTAATTTTTGTATTTTTAGTAGAGACAGGGTTTCACCATATTGGCCAGGCTGGTCTTGAACTCCTGACCTCAGGTGATCTGCCCGCCTCGGCCTCCCTCAGTGCTGGGATTACAGGTGTGAGCCACCGTGTCCAGCCTGCATACAAGCTATTTTAACTGAAGTGAGATAATATCTCATTGAACTTCTGATTTGCATTTCTCTGATGATTCATAATGTTGAGCACCTTTCATAAGCCTGATTGCCATTTGTATGTCTTCTTTTGAGAAATGTCTATTCAGATCAGCTCATTTTTTGTTTGGACTATTGAACTCTTTTTTCCTATAGAGTTGTCTGAACTCCTTATATATTCTAGTTATTAATCCTTTGTTAGAGGGGTAGTTTGCAAATATCTTCTCTCATTCTGTGGGTTGTCTCTCCTAGAAATTTTTGATATGTTGTATTCTTATTTTCTTTCAATTCAGTGTATTTTTAAATTTCCTTTGAGATTTATTTTTTGACTCGTAGAGTATTTAAAAGTTTTCGCTTAGTTTCTTGACTTTCCTCTGTCATCTTTCTGTTATTTATTTCTAGTTTGATTCCAATGTAGTCAGAGAACACATTCTGTATAATTTATATTCTTTTAAATTTATCAATATTTGTTTTATGGCCCTGGATATAGTCCAACTTGGTATATGTTGCATGGACACTTCAAAAGAATGTATATTCTGTGCGGCCAACAAGCATGTGAAAAAAATGCTCAGTATAACTAATCATTAGGGAAATGCAAATCAAAACAATGATGAGACACCATCTCACCCCAGTCAGAATGGCTATTGTTAAAAAGTCAAAAACAACAGGTGCTAACAAGGTTGTGGAGAAAAAGGAACACTTGTACACTATTGGGGGTAATGTAAATTAGTTCAGGCACTGTGGAAAGCAGTCTGGAGATTTCTCAAAGAACTTAAAGCAAAATTCCCATACAACCCAGCAATTCCATTGTTGGGTATATACCTAAAAGAATATAAATTGTTCTGTCATAAAGACACATGCACATGCATGTTCATCACACTGCTATTCACGTTAGCAAAGACATGGAATGAACCTAGATTTCTTTATCCAGTGCTCATCAACAGTGCACTGGATAAAGAAGATGTGGTACATATACACCATGAAATACTACACAGCTATAAAAAATGGGATCATGGCCTTTGCAGCAACATAGATGGAACTGGAGGCCATAATCCTAAACAAATTACCGCAGGAGCAAAAAACCAGCTAATTGCATACACATGGACACAAAGATGGGAAAAATAGACACTGGGGCCTATTTGAGGGTGGAGGGTGGGAGGACAGTGATGATTGAAAAAGCACCTATCGGGTATTATGCTGATGATTTTTCCTCTGCTGTCTTTCCGTTATTGATTTCTAATTTGATTCCATTGTAGTCAGAGAAAAGTTTGTATAATTTAAATTCTTTTAAAATTATCTGTACACCAAACCCTTGTGACACGCAATTTACCCATGTAACAAACCTGCATATGTACCCCTTGCACCTAGTAAAACCGGAAAAGAAAAACAACAAAAAAGAGCCAATGTGTATTCTGCTATTGATGGGTGGAGTGTCCTGTAAATGTGGATTTGATCCTGTTGGTTGATGGTGTTATTGAGCTCTTCTACATCTTTGCTGATTTTCTTTCTAGTTTTTATTTTTTTATTTTTATTTTTTTTGAGACAGAGTCTTGCTCTGTCCCCCAGGCTGCTGGAGTGCAGTGGCAGGATCTCAGCTCACTGAAAGCTCCATCCCCAGGTTCACGCCATTCTCCTGCCTCAGCCTCCCGAGTATCTGGGACTACAGGCGCCCGCCACCACGCCCAGCTAATTTTTTGTATTTTTAGTAGAGTCGGGGTTTCACCGTGTTAGCCAGGATGGTCTCGATCTCCTGACCTCGTGATCCACCCCCCTCGGCCTCCCAAAGTGCTGGGATTACAGGCCTGAGCCACCACTCCCTGCCTTCTTTCTAGTTTTATTAATAGTTGTGAGAGTTGTGTTGATGTCTCCAATTATAATTGTGGATTTTCTATTTTTTCTTTCAGTTCCGTCAGTTTTTGCTTCACATATTTTACAGCTCTGGTGTTTTGGGCATAAACATTTCTGACTGCAATGTCTTCTTGATAGACTGACCCTTCTATTATTATAAAACGTCCTTATCTTTCTCTGGTAATTTTTTTTGTTTTGGCTCTGAAGTTTACCTTATCTGAGAGTAGTACACTCACTCCTGTATTCCTCTAATTAAGGAAAACATGTTGTGTCTTTTTCCATCCTTTTACTTTTAACCTGCCTATGTTGTTATATTTGTGTGGTTTTATTGTTGTTTTTGTTTGTTTTGTGTTTTTTTTGAGACAAAGTCTCATCTTGTCACCTAGGCTGGAGTGCAGCGGCACAATCTCTGCTCACGGCAACCTCTGTCTTCCAGGGTCAAGCGATTCTCCTGCCTCAGCCTCCTGAGTAGCTGGGACCACAGGTGCACACCACCATGCCTGGCTAATTTTTGTATTTTAGTAGAGACGGGGTTTCACCATGTAGGCCAGGCTGGTCTCGAACTCCTGACCTACCTCAAATTATCCACCTGGCTTAGCCTCCCAAAGTGCTGAGAGCCACTGAGCCTGGCCTATATTGTTATATTTGAACTGGGTTTTTTTTTGTTTTTGTTTTTGTTTTTTGTTTGTTTTTTTTTGTAGAGTGCTGGGTTTACAGGTGTAAGCCACCATGCCTGGCCTGAACTGGGTTTCTTAATTGAGGTATTTAGATCATTTGCATTTAGTGTAATTTTTTTTCTTAATTTTTATGTTTAATTATTATGGGTACACAACCGTTGTATATATTAGTGAGGTACATGTGATGTTAGTTACAGGCATACAATGTGCAATGACCAAATCAGAGTAATTGGGGCATCTACCACCTCAAGAATTTATCATTTCTTTGTATTAGGAATAATGTAATTATTGATATATGTATTAGCTTGGGGTGCCATAACAAAATAAAACTAGGTGGCTTAAACAACAGAAATATATTCTCTCACAGTTCTGGAGGTTGGAAGTCTGAGATCAAGGCGCCAGCATGGTCAGCTTCTGGTAAGGGCTCTTCCTGGCTTATAGAGAGAGTTGCCATCTTCTGGGGGCAGAGTGAGAGAGAAAGAGAGAGGAAGGCTGGGAGGGAGAAAGAGCAAGAGAGCATACCCTGGTTTCTCTTCCTATTGAATTAATCCTATTGAATCATGGCCCTACCCTTATGAATTCATTTAACCTGAATTACTTCTGTAAAAGGCCCTATCTCCAAATATAGTCCCATTGGTGGTTAGGGCTTCAACATGGGATTCTGTGGGACACAATCCAACCTGTAGTAACATGAAGGGCTTAATTGTTTTTCATTTATTTTGTTTGTTCTCTCCAGTTTTCATCTCTGTTTACTCTTTTCTGACTTTCTGTGGCTTACTTGGGCATTTTTTAGAACGCCAGTTTTATTTATCTACAGTGTTTTTGAGTGTATTGATGCATAACTTTTAAGTGGTTGCTTTAAGTATTACATATACATGTAACTTGTCACAGTCTGCTGGAGTCATCATTTACCATTTTGAGTAAATAATAAAAATCTTACCTTCCTAATTTATGTCCCATCCCTTTATCCTCCTCACTGAAAATACGATTGTCTTAAATGTTTCCTCTACATACATTTAGAACCACATCAGTGTTATAATTTTGGCTTCAACCATCAAACATACTTTAGAAAACTTAAGAGGAGAAGAAAAATTTATTGTATTTACCCATCTATTTGCTTACCTTGTTCTATCTTCTTCCTTGATGTTCCAAGGTTCCTATTTTATCATTTCCATTCTGTTTAGATAACTTCTTTTAGCCATTTTCATTATTTCTGGGCAGGTGTTCTCCCCCCGCCCCCATCTCCATTGACATCTTAGAGAGGGGGCCCCATTACTGGCTTGCAGAAATGAAATTCTTAGCTTCCTAATTGGTCTTCTTGGATACCACTGCAGAGTGATGTTGGAGCACCTTGTTACAGCTTCAAGAGGGTGAAAGTTTAGGTCTCCCACTTGGTCTTTCTGGTGTGAATGGCAGTAGAGTCACAGTTATTGCTATGGTATTTGCCTAGAACTGAACAGTTACTTTCTAAGGCTTGACAGGCTTGCCTGCCTCTGTCTTGGTCTTTTGGCTAGTGATATCAGGGCTTTTGTTGTAAGTGTTGTTGGGGCTTTTTCTGTTTGTTTGTTTGTTTGTGCCAGTTGGTCTTTCCAAATTGTCACTTTCTTCAGCTCCAAGCCCAGCATATATGTGGCAAAAAGAAAGCCCAGGGAACTCACTAGTATGTCATTCCTCAGATCCTGAGATTCTAGCTGTTCTGCCTTCTCATTTCCACCTTTTAGAGTCTTCTTATGTTTGTTTTATATATATATAATGTCCAGAGTTTTTAGTTGTACTTAGTGAGATGAATAGGAAAAAGTATGTCTACTCAATTTTTCCAGAAGTCTTTGCTGTCAACCTTTACTAAATTAGTAGGTTTCCTTTTATTCCTGGTTTTCTAAAAGTTTATTTTTTAAACATAAATGGTTTTTTACATTTAAAAAATAGTTTATCAGAATTGACTCATTTCATTGTATTTTCCTTCTTAATCTCCTAATATAGTGAATTATATTGAGAGATTTTTAAAATGTGAAACATCTTTGCATTCCTGGGATAAACCCTATTTGTTCATCCTATAGTTACACATTTACTGTTGGTGTTATTTAGTTAATATTTTACTTGGGTTGTTGTATTTACTTTTATAAAGCATGGACGTAAAACTTGCCTTTCTTGTATTTCCTTGTTTGTTTTTGTAATAAAAATTTCTCTAAACAATAACCTAGGCAGATTTTGTTCTTCATTCTGTTTCCTGGAATAATAAATAGAAATGTCTTTTCAAAGGGCAGCTTTTGTTTTTGTTCATCTATTTTATTGTTTTTAGTTCTCTATTTCATTTATGACTATCTTTACTATTTCCTTCCTCCTTTGGGTGTATTCTGTTCCTCTTTACCTAGCGTTTGAGTTGAACACTCAGCTTATTGATTTTGGTCTTTTTTTGTGTTTCCTAGTAAGTGTATTTAAAGGTAAAAAATTTCCTTCTAAGTTCTGCTTTAATCATATCTAACACATTTTGATATGCAGTGTTTTAATTTTTATTTAATTCTACATATTCTTTATATTTTTCTTTTAACTCACAGGTTACTTGTGACATTTAAAAACTTTTTATTTTGAAGTAATTTTAGAAGAGTAGTACAAAGAATTCTTACGTACACTTGTCCAAATTCAATGATTTGCAACATTTTGTCATATTTGCTTTCTTTTTCTCTCTGTCTCTGCTTCCCTCTCTGTTTTTTTCCTAAAAAACATTAATATTCCTAAGTCCATTTTAGGGACTTACTCTAAAATGGTTATGAAAAAACATTAGAGAGAAAAAATGGTTTACTCTAAAATGGTTAGGAAGTCTGGAGTTACATACACACATGCCCCTTTCCTGCTAAATATTTCAATGTATTTCCTAAGAACAAGGCTGTTCTCTTACATAAACACAGAAAAACAGTCATATTAAGAAAATTTAACTTGGATATAATATTAGCTAATCCACAGTACATATTCAAATTTTACCAGTTTTCCCAATAAAGAACCTTATAACTCCAGCCACTCCCAGTCTCTTGTCCTGCAATCCAGAATCAAGCATTTCAGTAAGTTTTCATGTCTCTTTGGTCATTTTTAATGTGAGAGAGTCTATCAGTTTCTTATTTATTCAGGTTTTATTAATTAGCTTGAACTTATATAATTTTATTATTTTGCCCTTCAAGAACTCTGCTTTTTTTTTTTTTTTCTTTTTGGTCTAGTTTATCTACCAGTTTTTGAGAGAGGGTTTGTAAAAATCATCAAATGTATTTTTAAAAAACTCAACTTCTAACTGTAGTTCTTTCACTTGTTGCTTTATAAATTGTGAGGCTGTATTGTTGAGTTTATATATATTTATGATTACTATATCTTCTTGTTTCTTTAAAAGTTATATGAACATCTTTTCTTTTGTCCTTTATGCACTTTATTTTTTTTATTTTTATTTTTTTTTGAGATGGAGTTTCGTTCTTATTGCCCAGGCTGGAGTGCAGTGGCACAGTCTTGGCTCACTGCAACCTCCATCTCCCAGGTTCAAGCGATTCTTCTGCCTCAGCCTCCCGAGTAGCTGGGATTACAGGTGCGTGCCACCATGACCGGCTAATCTTTTTGTATTTTTAGTAGAGATGGCGTTTCACCATGTTAGCCAGGCTGATCTCGAACTCCTGACCTCAGGTAATCCGTCCTCCTCAGCCTCCCGAAATGCTGGGATTACAGGCATGAACCACTGCACCTGGCCCAAAATAGAATTTAAGGTTAAAAATAAAGTGCAGGCTGGACGTCGTGGCTCACGCTTGTAATCTTAGCACTTTGGGAGGCTGAGGCAGGTGGATCACCTGAGGTCAGGAGTTCAAGACCAGCCTAACCAACATGATGAAACCCCAACTCTACTAAAAATACAAAAGTAGCCGAGCATGGTGGCACATGCCTGTAATCCCAGCTACTCGGGAGGCTGAGTAGGGAGAATCGGTTGAATCCAGGAGGCAGAGGCTGCAGTGTACCGGGATCGCACCATTGCACTCCAGCCTGGGCAACAAGAGTGAAACTCTGTCTCAAAAATAAATAAATAAATAAATAAATAAATAAATAAATAAAGTGCATAGGCCGGGCACGGTAGCTCATGCCTGTAATCCTAGCACTTTGGGAGGCTGAGGCGGGTATATCACCTGAGGTCAGAAGTTCAAGACCAGCCTGGCTAGCATGGTGAAACCCTGTTTCTACTAAAAATACAAAAAATTAGCTGGGCATGGTGGCACACCTGTAATCCCAGCTACTCGGGAGGCTGAGACAGGCGAATCACTTGAACCCAGGAGGCAGAGGTTGCAGTGAGCCGAGATTGTGCCATTGCACTCCAGCCTGGGAGACAGAGGAAGACTCTGTCCCCCTCCCAAAAAAAAATCAATTCTATTTTGTTACATATTGAGACTGTTGCCCAACTTTCTTTTGTGTCGTATTTGCCACCAGGTAAATCTTTTTTCCCTGTTTTTAAATTTCAATCTTTACATATCTTTCTGCTTTAAGAGGATTTGCCATATGCATTCATATTAAAAACTTTCAATAAACTAGGTATTGAAGGAATATACCTCAAAAATAATAAGAGCCATATATGACAAACCCACAGCCAACATCTTGCTGAATGAGCAAAAGGTGGAAGCATTCCCCTTAAAAACCAGCACAAGACAAGGATGCCCTCTCTCACCACTCCTACTCAACATAGCGTTGGAAGTCCTGGCTGGGGCAATTGGGCAAAAGAAACAAATAAAGACGTCCAAATAGGAAGAGAGAAAGATAAACTATCCCTGTTTGTAGATGACATGATCCTATATCTAGAAAACCCCATTGTCTCAGCCCAAAAGCTTCTTAAGCTGATAAACAACTTCAGCAAAATATCAGAATACAAAATGAATGTGCAAAAATTACTAGTATTCCTATACACCAAACAACAGTCAAGCTGAGAGCCAAATCAGGAATGAACTCCCGTTCACAATTGTCACAAAAAAAATAAAATACCTAGGAATATAGCTAACTGGGGAGGTGAAAGATATCTACAAGGAGAACTACAAACCACCGTTCAAAGAAATCAGAGATGACACAAACAAATGGAAAAACATCTCATGCTCATGGATAAGAGGAATCAATATCATTAAAATGGCCATACTGCCCAAAACAATTTATAGATTCAATACTCTTCTTATTAAACTACCATTGAGATACTTCACAGAGCTAGAAAAACTATTATTATTATTATTATTTTTTTGAGACGGAGTTTTTGCTCTTGTTGCCCAGGCTAGTGTGCAATGGTGCGATCTCGGCTTACCACAACCTCTGTCTCCCAGGTTCAAGCGATTCTCCTGCCTCAGTCTCCCGAGTAGCTGGGATATTACAGGCATGCGCCACCATGCCCAGCTAATTTTGTATTTTTAGTAGAGACATGGTTTCGCCATGTTGGCCAGGCTGGTCTCAAACTCCTGGCCTCAAGTGATTCCCCCTGCCTCGGCCTCCCAAAGTGGTGGGATTACAGGCCTGAGGCACCGTGCCCGGCCAGAGCTAGAAAAACTATTTAAAAATGCATGTGAAACAAAAAAGGGCCAGAATAGCCAAGGCAATCTGAAGCAAAAAGAACAACGTTAGCAGTATCACACTACCCAACTTCAAACTATACAGGGCTATAGTAACCAAAACAACATGGCACTGGTACAAGAACAGACACATAGACCAATGGAACAGAATAAAGAACACAGAAATAAAACTACACCTATGACTGTCTGATCTTCAACAAATCTGACAAAAACAAGCAATGGGGAAAGTATTTTCTATTCAATAAATGGTGCTGGGAAAACTGGGTAGCCATATGCAGAAGATTGAAACTGCATCCCTTCCTTACACCATCCACCTTAACTCAAGATGGATTAAAGACTTAAATATAAAACTCAAAATTATAAAAATCCTGGAAGACAACCTAGGCAATACCATTCAGGATATACTGGCAAAGATTTCATGACAAAGATGCCAAAAACAATTGCAACAAAAGCAAAACTGACCAACAGGATCTAGTTAAACTAAAGAGCTTCTGCACTAAAAAGGAAACTATCAACAGAGTGGACAGACAACCTACAGAATGGGAGAAAATTTTGCAAACTATGCATCCAACAAAGGTATAATATCCAGCATCTATAAGGACCTTAAATAAATTTACAAGAAAAAAAAACCATTAAAAAGTGGGCAAAGGACATGAACACTTTTCAGAAGAAGACATACATGCAGCCAACACGTATATGAAAAAAAGCTCAACATCACTGATCATTAGAGAAATGAAAGTCAAAACCACAATGAGATACCATCTCACATCAGTCAGAATGGCTACTATTACAAAGTCAAAAAATAACAGATGCTGGCTAGGTTATGGAGAAAAATGAACGTTTTTACACCGTTGGTGGGAGTGTAAATTAGTTCAACCATTGTGGAAGACAGTGTGGCAATTCCTCAAAGACCCAAAGACAGAAATACCATTTGACCCAGCAATCCCATTACTGGGAACATACACAAAGGAATATAAATCATTCTATTATAAAGACACATGAACACATATGTTCACTGTAGCACTATTCACAATATCAAAGACTTGGAATCAACCTAAATGCCCACTAATGATAGACTGGATAAAGAAAACGTGATACACATACACCATGGAATACTATGCAGATATAAATAAGAATGAGATCATGTCCTCTGCAGGGACATGGATGGAGCTGGAGGCCATTATCCTTGGCAAAATAATGTAGGAAGAGAAAATCAAATGCCAGATGTTTTGACTTATAAGTGGGAGGTAAATTGTGAAAACACATGGACACACAGAGGGGAACTGCACACATGGGCCTATTGGAGGGTGGAGGTGGGAGGAGGGAGAGGATCAGGAAAAATAACTAATGTATACTAGGCTTAATACCTGGGTAATGAAATAATCTGTACAACAAACCTCCCTGACACAAGTTTACCTATGAAACAAACCTGCACATTTACCCCTGAACTTAAAAGTTAAAAAAGAGTATTTGTTATAAATCACACATGATTTGGTTCCCTTTTTCCTCCATTATTAGAGCCTTTGTTCTTTTATTGGTAACTGCTGAAGTAAAGATTTACTTTTGCAACTCATTTCACATTCTGTTTTTATTGTACAATGTTTCTTCCCTTTTCTTGCTTTCCATTTGATAGACTGATTTTTTTCTGCTGTATTAAAAGTTATACATACTGATTCTGTTCTTATGGTGGTTGCCTTTAATTTAACACAGTGAGCATTTACCTTTTAAAATGTCTTAACTACCTTAATATTTATATCTTGCCTCCTAAGTTCTTTAGCATACTCTTATGTTCTTTTGATTTTCTACTTCCCTCCCTCTAATGCCAATTCTCCTACCAAGTAGATATTACACACACACACATTCATTTACCCTCTTTTAAAAATATGGTCCTGGATTTGTTGACAAATCACCCTTATATTTGTTGTTGTAAATTTCTTGATTTGATTCTCTTTTTGTGTACTTCCTCTAAGAGTGTTTTTTTTTTTTTTTTTTTTCCACGTCCAAGAGTGTTTTAAATATGAGCCTTTGGATTCTTTGCATGATAATAAATTTGTTATGCCATCTCACTTGAATAGCAATTTTGATACATATAAAGTTCTAAACTCCAGTTTATTTTCCTTCACTACTATAAAAATATTATTTTATTTTATTCTTGCATTCATTGCTGTTGAAAAGTCTGACATCAATCTGATCTTACTCCTTTGTAAACTGTTCTTTTTTTTTTTTTTTTTTCTGATAGGGTATCACTCTGTCACCCACTGGAACCTCCACCTCCCGGGTTTGCCTCAGCCTCCCGAGTAGCTGGGACTACAGGCACACGCCACCAGGCGGGGCTAATTTTTGTATTTTTAGTAGACACAGGGTTTCACCATATTGGCCAGGCTGGTCTCGAACTCCTGTCCGCAAGTGATCCACCCGCCTCTACCTCCCAAAGTCCCAAAGTGCTGGGATTATAGGCGTGAGCCACTGTGCCCAGTTGATAAACTCTTCTTTCTAAGTTTTAAAAATATTTATTTGTCTCAATATAACGAGCATAGGTGTGGATTTTTCTGAAGCTCCTGTTAAGTATCCTTTGAACCCTTTTCTCTGAGGTCTTTCATAATTAAAAAAAAATTGTAAATTTATTAGTCATTATTTTCTCACGTATATATTTTTTTCCTCTCACTGTGAGTTCTCTTATGATTCAGATGTTGATACTTCTATTTCTAGCATACATTTTGCTGAACTTTCTTTTATATTTTTGATGTCTTTATTCTTTCCTACTGTCTTCTGGGATTATCTTTCATCTTATCTTTTACCTCACAAATTATTCTTCAGCTATATTTATCCTGGTACTTGTCTAATCTATAGTATTTACAACTTCTACTGTTATAGTTTTAACATCTAATATTCTGTCTTTGTTTTTGTGAGTTACTGGTTTTGCTTTATGTTGCTGGTATCTTCTATTATCTTAAGTATATTTGCCATTTTGTTTCAAGTTCTTGGTTCATCTTCTTCACAATTCTGCATTAGATAGTATATGGTGTTAATTTGTTGTCTATGTTTTGCAATTTTTTTGTTCCTTAGCCATATCATTATGTTGATCTGTGAGCTCACGTCTCCAGGAGGGCACCAGCTAGTCTGTGGGGTAATGTGTAATGGGGAAGAGATAAAGTCAAATACTGGTCTGTGTCCCTCCAGATCCAGCCCTGGTAGAGAGCCCAGAAACACTGTGGATCTCCCCATTTGCCACTACTCTTTCAGGCAACTCCTAGGAAAAGCACAGTTGGGAGTAGGCAGGTGCTCCACGTTGGGATTCACCAGCGCTGGGAGTTGGGGCAGTGGTCGTGAGTAGTGGAGAAGAGAATACCCAAAAGCTCACCCCTAGTTTCATCTGTTCCCTACTGATTTACCTTGAAGATACAAGTAGCCTGGCCTGTTGCAGCCTGTTTATGTATGAAGGGGAGGCAACAATTGTCCCAAGCCGATTGGGAAGGACATAGTGCAGAAATTAAAAAGTCTTCCTGCAGCCTGTTCTCCCACTGTGGCTTATCTCCCAGGATGCAGCCCTGCCCATTCTCTACGCACACCAGCTCAAGACAGCAGTTCTGTCTCTCCTGGCAAATATAAAAACACTTTATACTTATTTCTGGTGTTGCCAGCTCCCCAGATCCTTGCTTCCTTTTGCTTCTCTACCTTTACAAAAATTAATTTTGGGTGAGGGAGCTGGAAGCCTGAACCTACCTATTTGCCATTTCACAGGAACTGGAAGCTTTATTTCTGGTCCTCAAAGGGCAAAGTGACAAGCGACATTCAATAGCTCATGGCCTGAGGCTTCCTGATGCCCAGGGTCTTACACTCGTAGCCAGGACTGATGTGTTGTCATAGCCATTCCAAGGGTCTCTTTTCAAGGTGTCCAATGGGGTGGCAAGCAGGGATTCTGATTCATCTATGCTCCAGGGACAGGAGAGAAAGGAACTTGGAGATTCATGAGGTAGGCATGAAGCTTGGATAGTGGGAGGGGAGGAAGATAGATGTGTGTTGAGCATTTATTGTGCACTCTATTGAGCCCTTGCTGGGTACACCTTGAGGGCTAATTTACTTCACAGAATCCAGGAGGAATGCCTTCAGGGGTACTTTCAGGAAAGTATCCATAGATTTTTAGGAGGCTGTGTGGTGAAGCTATGTTCATACTACTAGATAATATTTACCTTATAGGCTTCATGATGTATAAATCTGCCTTTCCTCTAATTTATAATAGAAGCATCCATATGATTTATGAATTCTTTCAGATTAGCTCTTTTAGGCCATCCTAGCTAAATACTGAGGGTGTTTAGTATCCTCAGGGTGCTTTGCTGCAGCTGTCCCCAGCTGGTCTCGTTTTTTCCTATTTTCTAATTGGTCTCTACCCCCATTCCTCCCTCAGTCTGTCTTGACAGATGGCAGATGCATCTTCCTATGTGGCAGTGCTTGGCACTAGGTTTGCAGCAAATGCTTGTTGGATTGATTTTCTTTAGATTTGAAGGTTAAAAAGAGAGTTTTTCTCTTTATAGGCACCCATCCCAATTTCTTCTCCTTGCAATGCTCAGTAGTTGCTACCAGGAAGGGCTGTCACCAGGTTGTGTCCTAACTGGAATGAGCTCTTGAGTGGGAGTAAGCAATGTTTGTTGGTAGGTCAAAGGGTTAACAACAGTTTTAAGCTCTTTTTTCCCATGGGAAGATGAACTCCAGTTTACCTTATACTTACTGTTTCTTTGAAATGTACTGTTTGGATAAATGTGAAATGTCAGCTGTATTTTAAAAAATCACATTTATTTATTTATTTATTTATTTATAAGTGTGGAAATGACCCCTGGTTGGTGAACTACATCTATGCTGGGCAGACTGCGGGCAGGCATTTAGACTTGGTGGACCTATATGACCAGACCCGTATGAAAACCTGTTGGGAAATGTAGGCCCTGGACTCTGTTATGGTGTGTTTCTTGAATCCGAATATGCCTGTTTTCTTGGAATCCTCACTCATGGGTTGGTATAAGATGTGGTTCCTGTCATGTGAGAGATTCTTCCATCCTAGAATGGCTCCCCCGTGCCTCTCCCCTACTCCTGTGGTCTTGTCTACTATGACCATGCATATTCCCATGAGATGAGAGGGTTAAGAATCAGCATCTAGAATACATAAAGACTCCTGATGAAGATGTCTAATGCTGTCAGGCTGACAAGCTATGTTTCCATATCCAATATTCCTCTACAAAGCTAAATAAATAAGTTGCCGTATAACAGCCCACCAAGTCTTTTGAGTGTGTATGTTAATCTGAACCCAAGGCACAACTAATTTGTATGAAGTAAGCATTGTAGGATTTTTTTTCCTACAAAAATAACTTTCTCTTCATTGCTGAAATTCTGTTGTAAATAAACAAGTGGTAAGCAGAGGATCATAAAATGTTCCTTGCTCAAAGCCTTAAAATTCCCAAAACTCCAGCATTCAAATTTCTCTGGACAGAATTGGAACCAAAATGAAGTCACAGTTAATAATAAAACATTACATTTGTGTAATGCTTTGAATATTCTAAAGATTTTATTCTACTTTTCCTGTCTTCTCTTCTCTGACTGACTCAATATGGCTTCTCTTGTACCTGCAAAAAGATGACTTCAAAATCCATTTCTCCAATTTTGAACCCACTACAGTACTTGATATCCATGTATGCCACTATTTAGAAGCAAAGGAAATAAAATCATTGAAATGACACTTTGAAATAGACTTGGTAGGACCTGAAAACTCACTGAATCCAATCTTCTCACTCAGACAGTTGAGTGGACAGTGGTTTAATCCACTGAAAGAGGAAATACAAGGGAAGGACATGTTTGAGAGGTGTTTAGAGAATGATTGATAAAAGGTCTTAGAAGAGGTGAGTGTCCACTATTTTTGCACTGGAGTATCTACCCCTGCTCCAAGGTCCCTCATGTTCACATCTGTTGGGGATGATGGGAGGGCCAGAAGACAGCCCACCTCATGGAAATAAGAGTAGCCAGGCTACATGGAGTAGGTCGGGAAGCAAGGAGGCTCAGGACCAAGGAAAGGTTTATCGAATAAATATTATGAAATGCTCAGCTGGTATATGAAGAGCAGTGAGGGTTGGGGGTATCAGGATCACAATCCATATTCAGTTCCAAGATGTCTGGACCATTTCACAGTTGGGATATGGTCTTCCTCTAAGGAAGAACATGGGCTGTTTTTTTCATACTTCTGATCACAGTTGGCAAGAAGGAATGGTTGGAGTAATAGACTAGTAGTTGGGTTCTTAGATTTGTTTCTTTAATCAAATTCTCATGGCTAATGGCAAGATAGAATATGCTTATACAGGACATTTATCTGAAAGTTGTGTTACAGACAACATCCATTAGAATCATCCAGGGTACTTCATGAAAATGCAGATTTCTGAATAACCTCTAGAACTGCTGAATTAGGATCCCTGGGCTGGAGCCTGAGAATTTGCATTTAAGCCTACTTCTTAGCAATTCTTATGTACACTAAAATTTAAGAAGCATATGTAAGCTGGTTAATTATGAATTATTCTTATCAATGAAAAATTATACCAAATGAGAATTAAATGGGACAACTGGATATTTCATTGCTTTGAAGAAGCTGGTGACAACTTCATCTAAGACTTCCCAGTTGCTCTTTCAGTATTACTTCTAAATTTACTATTGCAGTTTATTTTTCATTAAATCTTCCTTCTACTGGTACAAAGAAAAATATCTTTGTCTTCCCTTTTAATTTTATTTATTTATTTTGTTTGAGACAGAGCCTCACTCTGTTTCCCAGGCTGGAGTGCAGTGGTGTGATCTCGGCTCACTGCAACCTCCACCTCCTGGGTTCAAGCGATTCTCCTGCCTCAGCCTCTCGAGTAGCTGGGACTACAGGCGCCTGCCACTATGCCTGGCTAATTTTTGTATTTTTAGTAGAGACGGGGTTTCACCATATTGGCCAGGCTGGTCCCAAACTCCTGACCTTGTGATCTGCCAGCCTCGGTCTCCCAAAGTGCTGGGATTACAGGCGTGAGCCACTGCGCCCGGCCAATTTTATTTTTTAATTAAACATTTCTGAGACATTTTGGCTTTAATGAAAATGTTTCCAAAGCATGTTCAAAGCGTAGTCCTTAGTTTGATGGTCTGAAGAATGGAATCATTTATTAGTGGAGTTCAATAAATATTTATTCGCATTTATACATACAAGGTCCTTTGGACAGAGTAAGAGACACAAGACACCACCACTCCCTGAAAGAGCACACAAAACAATTACATAGATAAGACCAACACACACATTTGAACTGTGGTATTGAAACTTAAAAAAAAAAAAAGCCTAAAGCCCTCTCAGTAAAAAAGAGTTGAGTACTTATCGACACTTACATGTTTATTTATACATTATCCCATGTACTAGCATATGGCTTGACTATATACACCAGAACTCACACTGTAACAAATAGAAAGTTTATAAGTTACCAAAATAAATAGAAACTTTAACACTTCCTTCCTGTATCCTCAAGGATCATTTGCACATTCCCTGTAGTGTGCACATTCCATTTTGTAAACCAGTGTTTTTAGAAAACAATGCCTACCTATATATAACCAAGCACTAAGTTCTGTGTTACAGATTAAAAAAACCATTTTAGAGTAAAGAGAAATAAGAGCAAACCCAGACTACTAGAACTGGTAAATGAAAGGAATAGCATTCAGAAAACAATGTATATTCAATAAATAGATAAAATAATAGGAAACATTTGCTTTGGGTTCATGTCAAAGCCTATTAAGAAGGAGACATAGACATAGGACAAAATGCATATGTAGAGGAAAAAGAAACAAAATATAGAAATGTAAACATTACTTCCTTCTGGCAAAATGTCTTCTAGCCTTTGGTGAGGTATTTCCAGACATTTATAGGCTACACTCTGCCAATGATTTTATTTAAGGATGACACAGTGAATGCTTATTTTTATGTCTACAAAAAAAGTTACAAAATTTAGTTATTCACACATTCATTCATCAGTGCCTCTTGATATTGGAAATGTTTCTCCCTATTGCTTTATGGATTGACTGTATTCCTGAAAAGCTTGAATTATATTTTAAAAACTCAGCCATAAGCTTTGTGGGAGACAGACTGTACCTGTCAAGTTCCCTCTTGTATCTCTGGCACCTCGCATAGCATCAGGCTCATAGTGAATATTCAAGAATGTCCTCTCGATGGTTGCAATATATTTGAAAATCTCAGCATTGAAAGGAATTCTGTGACAAACCACTTAAAAAAGTTAAAATGAATGAACATTCAGTAAATTCTGATTTTGATGAAACACAGTTGTTCATAAGTGGACAAAACTATCCTTTAAGTAAACCCATGGGGACATTTGAGTTGAATAATTTATAGAGACTTATAATCTGAAAGAGAGCGCAGACATAGTCTCATATTCTTTTACCACACAGATAAGGAAAAGCTGGAGCTCACAGAAACTTGAAAGAGCTTGCCCAAGGCCACATCACTATTTAGGAGCAGTTATTTTAATATGTAACAAATTACGTGTGATTAATCTTTTTCAGAAGGGGTTACTGCAGGTTTTCTTAAAGTAACAGTATTAGATAATATTTTATAAAACTTAAAAACTCTATAACATAATGCTTCATAATGTTTAAGAATTCATAAACATTTAGTAAAAATATTAAAAACATGCATAGCAATGATAAAACTGACTTCACATTGGTGGTTATATCTGGGGGCAGTGAAAAGAAAATGGAAGGATTCAGAGGTATCAATTTTATTGTAGTCACTGATTTATTAAAAAAACCATTGAAACAAATAGGACAAAATACTAAGATTTAATAAAGCTGGGTGTTTGGGTAATGGGGGTTTATTTGCCTTTCTGTGTGTTTAAAATACTTAACAATACAAATATTAAAACTAAAATTAGTAAGAGATTTGTAAACTAATAGGTTTTTTAAAATACCAAGCAGAGGAACAAAGTCAACTGTTATTTATCCAAAGAACCATTAACAGAAATAGGCTATATATATATATATATATATATATATATATATATATGCTAAAGGGTTTAGTCAACAAAGTAGATATTCTATAATTAGCAGCATGAAGGAGTTAGAGTACATCTTATGTTGTTATAATTAATAGTAAATATTTGTAACATACAGAAAATACATGGAACAACAGTCATGCAACCACTACTCAAATACAGTTGTGCTGTTTGCACCTGACTTCAGGTCCACCTTTCTTTTCCCTCACCAGATGCAATTACTAGTTTAAAGTTAGTGCATATCATTTGTTATTATGTTGTGAGAATTGTCCTTGTGAAATATGGACATTTAGTTTATTTTAATGGTTGCACAATTTATTGTAGAAAGGCAACACAATTTTATTTACTTTTTTATGCACTGATGGGCATCCCCTGACTTTCCACCAATTATAAGCAAACCTGCAATGAACATCCTTATGCATACTTCTTTGTTTTTGTATTTGAGAATGTCTTCAGGTCTCTAGGGCATATAAACATAGAATTGCTTGTCTGTAGGATTCTTGTCTCTTTAAATTTGTACAACACTGCATATGTGAAATAAGTAGTTGAAATAAGTGGGAAAACTAACCCTTCCACCAAGATTCTATGCAAATTCCCATTTCTTCACATTTCTGCTTCAGCACGTGGTATTGTTAGGCTATCTACCTTGAGATAATAAAGTTATTCTACATTTCCCCCCCAAAGCTTTAAACCTTTACCTTTTCACATTTAGCCTTTTATTTCATTTAAAATTTATTTTTGTAATGGTGTGAGGTAGAGATCTGGTTTCATTTATTCCCCATGGTGATAGCCTATGTTCCTGCAATATTAACTGACTTATCCAACAGTTCTCAAAATGTGATCAGAGGATTCCTGGGGATGTTGGAAGGGAGAGATCCCTTGGATCCTTTTAGAGGGTCAACAAGGTCAAAAATATTCATAAAATTAAGATGTTATTTGCCTTTTTTTTACTCTCACTCTCATAAGTGTACAGAAGGGTTCGCCAAAGACAACAATGGCATGTGATGAATAGTGATGACTATTTCTCTGATACCTAACAGATTGTGTGCCTGTGTATTGTATTTTCTAGAGTTTTCAAAGGTAGTGAGTTTACGGTATAAGTATGTAGTTTTCAGAAATTATTTCTTTTCTACCATGCTCTTACCAGCTATCTTCAGTTATACCTGTTATAATCTCTGTAATCTCATTATCTTCCAAGAAATCATTTTTAAATCCTAAAGTTTTTCCTTTTACACAGAAACATAACAAAAATTATGTTTACTTTGTTGTTTTGCAATAATATATTTTTCAAAAATGTTTTTAATTAAAAAATTTTATCTGAATAGGGTGGATGGTTGGCTTTAAAAAGGGAGAAGAGAAAACACATTTTCTGGTGTCTAGATTGCCTATGTCTAGAGATGCTGAAAAGGATGACATTGACATATCAGCAAGTTATCTGATTCCTCATAAAAAGGAGAAATCTATTCCAAAGAAACTGAGCACAACTATACACAACAAAAATATGTTGAAAGTGATCTTTTGTTCAGCTTTATAGATGTTAATAATTTATCATATTGTGTCTTGTGCAGTAAAACATTTTCAAACACTTATATGGTTCCAACAAAGTTGCAGTATCATTTTGGGACCAATCATTCAGAATTTATTAAAAAAAGGAATTAAATAACCGAAATGTAGATGTAATACACTCTTTAAAAGCTTCTTACAGGATAAGCCATCATATTGTATTGGCTAGAGGAGCACACACAATCACAGAGAGACTAATAAAGGCTTGAACAGTTGACATTGCTGAATACCTGCTGGATGAAAAATCACCACAAGAATGCATAGTGCTGGCATTTTCCAATGATGCAATAACTTGTCAAATTAAAGATTTAACTGCAAACATAAAGACTGAGTTAATATATCATCTAAAGAATTGTACCTTAGCCTTACAAAGGGACTGATCTACAGATGGCTATACATCCTGTTTTGCTTTCATTCATCAGGTATCAGCATCAATTGACCATTGATGATCTTCTTTTATGTGAATTCTGGGCAACAGGGGTTCTGAAACATTAAAAGTGTTATATGACTTTTTTGAATCTGGTGGTTTATCCTCAACAACTGTGTTAACTGTGTTAACATTTGCACTGATGGTGCAAAAATGGTGGATTTTATCCAATGGTGGGTAAAATGACTGGTGTCTTAGCACGAATTAAGGCAATGGCACCAAATTTTATTAGTAGTCATTGTATTCTTCACCACCACACATTCGTAGTAAAAAAAAAACAGTTTTACTAAAATAATGTCCTTGATGAAGTTGTAAAAATTATTTTCTACTAAATCTCAACCCTTAAGCACATTTAAAAAAATTCTTTGTGACACAATGTGATGTACCCATAAAACACTTCTACTGCATGCTGAAATATAGTTGTCTTTTGGAAAAACACTTGTTTGAGTTGCAAGCTGAATTAGCCACTTTTTCTTTTCTTTCATGGAAACACCATCTTTTCACTTGGAAAAAAAAAGTGACAGAAAATTGATTATTCAGACTTGGGAATTTGGCAGACATTTTCTTGAAAATAAACAGTGATACTATCACTTTAGGGAAAACAACTAGTTGTATTTGTTGCCAGTGCTAAAATTTAAGCTTTTAAAAGTAGAAGTTGGAATTTTGAAAAGCTTGTATCTGCTACTGTGGGATACTTAGAATTTTTTCTGATATCAGCAGCAACATTAATGAATATAATATTTTTTTGAGACAGGGTCTTGCTCTGTTGTTAAGGCTGGATTGCAGTGGCATGAACAGGGCTCACTGAATGCAGCTCTCAACCTTATGGGCTCAAGTGATCCTCCTGCCTCAGCTTTCCAAGTAGCTGAGACCACAGATGTGCACTCCACTCTTGGCAAATTTAAAAAAATTTTGTAGAGATGGGGTCTTGCCATGTTGCCCAGGCTGGTCTTGAACTCCTGGGCTCAGACAGTACTCCTGCCTTGGTCTCCCAATGTGCTGGGATTACAGGCATAAGCCACTGCAGCCAGTTTGAGTTTTTGATATTGCATGAAATGTTTGAACATTTCGAATACCTCCATAATTCAGTAAACAGATATTTCCTAATGACCATATAATGTTACAGAATCTTACATGAGTAAAAATAATTTCAAAATGCGGATAGGCCAATAGATTTCAATGACTTCCTGTTGTTTATCCCCTGAACCAGAAGATTTACACTCACCCTAGATTCTTACCTTTCCCTCAACCCCTTCATTCTATTACTCAGTACTCAGTGTAAATTCCACCTCCCAGACAGCAGACAGCTCTTAAGTGTATGCTTTCCTGTTCATTACTATTTCTAATGCCCTCATTCAGAACTCTGGCAACTTACTTTATGATGTCAAATCTCTTACGTAGCATAAGAGGCCACTGCCCACCTCTCTTCTCTAGCTTCCCCCATTTCACTGTATTGTCTAGTAAGCTGATCTTATTATAGCTTTTTTTTTTTTTTTTAGACAGAGTCTCTCTGTCGCTCAGGCTGGAGTGCAGTGGTGTGATCTCTGCTCACTGTAATCTCCACCTCCCACCTTGAGCACTCCTCTCGCCTCAGCCTCCCAGGTAGCCGGGACCACAGGCGCACACCACTGAACAGGGATAATTTTTTTTGTTTTTGTAGAGACAGTGTTTTGCCATGTTGCCCAGGCTGGTCTCGAACTCCTGGGCTCAAGTGATCCACCTGCTTCAGCCTCCCAAAGTGCTGGGATTACAGCCACTGTGCCCAGCCTATTATAGCTCTTTATAAAACAAAAACAACAAAAAAACCGAACATATTGATTCATGACTCCCTACCTTTGCATTCACATGATTCCTTTGCCTGGAATGTCCCCCTTCTTCTACCTGCTTGGGAATTCCTAGCTATATCTACTAAAATTCTATTCAGATGTCTTTTTCCAGGAAGCTTTTCTTAACCTAACTCACGCCATTAAGTTATTCGCTTTATTTTTCTAGGTTATCTTCTATTTGTTTCTACTGTTGTACTCATCATTCTGTAAGGTATTGGGGCTCTGTAGAATTTCTGTTACAAAATTACTTTTTGGTTTGATAATATTTACCTACATTGAGCAATCCCATAAGAAACAGGCCTGTGAAACTCTCTATTGGGTTTCCTAAAACAATATTGTTGAGAGATTATTTAATTACCTAGCTTTCTTTTTATAGGGACTTGCCAGAGAAATATATTTCTGGTCTTATCATATTAGTTACTCTTCAGATTTGTTTTAGAAAATAGTCACCATTAACACCTTTTAGAATTGGTTGGTGGAAAGTTTCCAATCAAAATCGTGGTCCACCTCTAGCAAGCTGTAAAATTTTATGATCTCCAATTAGCCTCAGTTTAAACTCTAGTCAGGCATTTAGCTTCACAAAAACTGAAGTCAGGGATAGTCAGTTTTCCCATATTAGTAGAGAGCTGGGAAGTGCTGATGTGCACAACCTGCAGCCTGAAATAGTTGCTTTTTCTAAATAACAGTAAAACTGTTGCTCTCTGAGGATGGATAGGTGGATGCTATTTGTTGTTTGCAAAGCTTAGGGAACCCTGTGGTTGAGATTTTTTCCAATACATGCATTTTTTTTCCCTTTGCAAAGGGACTTTGGATAATTGTTAATTTTCCCAAGAATATAATTATAATTCTTTTATTGTTTAAATAGAGTTAATAGTTTATCTACAGTTTCACTTTCTGCAGTTTCAGTTATCCATGGCTTGAAAATATTAAGATATTTTGAGAGAAAGAGGAAGAAAAAGAGGTGTCAGTCACATAACTTTTATTACAGCACATCGTTACGTTTCTATTTCATTATTAGTTATTGTTCATATCTTACTCTGCCTAACTTATAAACTTTAACATGCATATGTATGGGAAAAAAAACATAGTATATATAAGGTTTGGTACTATCTGCAGTTTCAGGCATCCACTAAGGATATCAGAACATATTCTCTGCATATTTAGGAGCAATTACCGTATGATATTTTTTTCTTTCTGTGTAAACACATGGTGTCATAGTCCATTTTGTGCTACTGTAACAGAATATCACAGACTAATAACAAATAACAGAAATTTATTGGCTTATAGTTCTGTAGGCTGAGAAGTCCAAAATCAAGATGCTGGCATCTGGGAAGGGCTTTTTTGTTGCATCATCACACAGAGGAAGGTGGAAGGGTGACAGAGAGAGCAAGAAGGGGCTGAACTTACCCTTTTATAACATCACCAATCCCACCCTAATCACCTCTTAAATATTCCACCTATTAATACTGTTATCATGGCAATTACATTTCAACATGAGTTTTGCAGGGGAGAAACATTCAAATCATAGCACATGGGTTAGGTGAGAAATGAAGAGTGAGGTATACAAGAGCATCCAGAACCATACTATATACATTCCAGCTGTTTTGGTGTAGAAGCAGCACAAATGTAGAAGCTGCATTGTTTCTTGATAAAAGGGTCCTGGAAAGATGACCAGCTATACAGTTTCCACTAGAGGAAATGCAGATTGGCTTGTACGACTTTAGAGTATGAAATATAAAGATCTGGAGTCTGTTCCATGTTTTTTCAGGACTGGTGTGACTATATTATGGATAACGAAGGAAAGGAGCCTCCTTTGAAAGAAGCATCTAAATTAGGGATGGGCTCCTCATTTGGAGGATGTTAGAAACTACGAATCAATGTCTCTCATGTTCAATGGAGCTCCCATTTTTATCGGTTTCATGAGACTATTATTAATTTATTTGAATCCAAGATGAGTCTCAAATATACCCAGAAGAAAAAAAATTAAGAAATGAAACCAAGACTCCTAATGCTTTGAATGTTCGTAACATTCGAGAAAAATTTGAGCCTGGGCTATATAATCAAAGTCTAGGATTTGTGAACCTAACAGGGTTCCACTGTCACCTGTTTTCAAGAGAGTGCTGAGAAAAATTCCAATCTATACCTTAAACAATTAGGTTAAATGATTTAAAGAAATTAGCCTTCAGAGGACTGAATTTTTAATGATTTTTCTACTTGGAAAATGTGACTTCTAAATAAAAAAAGTGCTTGCTTATTATAAAACCTTGGTTCAAAGGTAAATACTATGTTCTGACAAGTGTAAAATAAGTACAAGCACATGTGAAAATAACTGTTAACAGCAAATGCTTAAGAAGTGTTCTTGTTTTCTAAAATAAACATTTCCTGTTCCTAAAGTTTTTGGATCAGAAAATGGAAAAATATAACTCTAGTTAATGGGGATATGCAATTTGACTGTAGACCAATAATTAATTGTCATAAAGACTTTAAAAATCCTTCTAGATTAATAATGTGTAGAGGAGTCTTAGAGGATTACTCAGTAAAATAAATTCAAGGTAACAATATTAATCTAAGTTTCTTTAATATTCTTGATCTGGGTAAACATTTTCATAAATTAATTTTGTGAATTTTGAGTTTAAAATATGTCCTGCTCTAATTTCACCATGTGTAAAATAAAAAGGCAATCATAGTATTTTAGTCCATATAAAACCATGCCTCCATTTATAAAAACAGACTTTTTTTGGACAGTTTAACAGTTACAGAAAAACTGAACAGGAATTACAGAGAGTTCCTGTATGTCCCCTCAAGCCCTCTTCCCTCCAGTTTCCACTATTAGTAACATCTTGCATTAGTGTGGTACATTTGTTAAAATTGGTGAGCCAATATTGATACATTATTAAGTCCATAGTTTACATTAGGGTTCACTCTTTGTGCAGTTTTATTGGTTGTTATATTTTATTGGTTTTGACAAAGGTATGACATGTATCCACCATTACAGTATCATTCAGAATAGTTTCACTGCCTTAAAAATCCTCTGTGCTCCACCTATTCATCCAACCCTTCCCATGGACCACTGGTAACCACTACCTTTTCACTGTCTCCATGGTTTTGCCTTTTCCAGATTACCATATAGTTGGACTCATACAATATGTAATCCTTTCAGATTGGCTTTTCCTTAGCAATATGCATTTAAGGTTCCTCCATTATCCAGAGATGGTTTTAGTTGTCACAACTTGGGTAGAGAGATCAGGGGTCAATGCTACTGGCATCTAGTGGGTGGTAGAGACTGAGGTAGCTCATGAGCATCCTACAATGCCCAGGACAGCCCCCTACAAAAAAGAATTATTCAGCCCCAAATGCCAACCATGCTCGAGGTTGAGTAACCTTGTGTTAAGAGTGACATGTGGCATGAGAAATGGGGCGGTTTTGGCTCATGTTGTGATATTCTAGATTCAGGTATTTCCCTGAGCAGAGAGGCTGAAATGCTGAAAATTTTTCATTTGATGACCTTGATGCTTCCTTTCCTGACCATCGTAAAGAACAAATGGCTCCTTTGCTTTGGCAAGAAATACTGAAGGTGGTGGCTTTTTTCTGTTTGTTTTGAAATGAAGTCTTGCTATGTTGCTCAAGCCAGTCTTGAATTCCTGAACTTCTGGTCTCAAGTGATCCTCCTGACTCAGCCTCCAGAGTAGCTGGGACTACAGGCACATGTTACTGCACCAGCCTTCAACGTGATTTTTTTTATTTCATTCAGGTGACAAACTCATGCTGAGGTTCCCAATTTTTGTCTCAGAGCTAGGATATTCTAAATTTGTAAAAAAAAAAAAAAAAAAAAAAAAAGTTAAGAAATATTAACTTTCTATGAAACACTCTAAATACTAACAAAGAGCTTGGTGAGTTCTCCCACTTACCTGTGTCCCATCTGTGCTTCAGTTGCAAATATATATATATATACACAGAGAGAGAGAGAGAGTCTTATTCTGTCACCCAGGCTCCAGCGATCCTCCCTCCTTGGCCTCCCAAAGCACTGGGATTATAGGGATGAGCCACTGCCCCCAGCTCAGTTGCTTATTTTGCATTATTTCAAGGCAGTGGAGGCAAAACGCTCAAAATTAATTTCTCACAGATCAACATCACATCTTGGAGTAAAACAAACACATATTGAAGGTATTTTAATGTATGTTTTCTTGAACTTCTTCTAACTAATAGGGGAAATATTTTCATTAACTTTTACCAAAGATTTCTGGATAGTGTAAATATATTTTTCTATTTGGGTAACAGTTTATAGTATGCTGTTATTTCTCTGTTCATTTATTTATTTTTATCATATACCTCCTAGAGTAAGATTTAATTTGATGGAAATGTTTTGTGGATTCTGCTGTAATTAATGCACATAATAGCAGTCAGTAATAGAATTTCTGTAAACCTATATTTATTAATTATCTAATACCTTCTCTTCATTTTGCTGTTGATTTCCACTAAGTAGATTAAATTGTGTTCTTAAAAACAGAAATTCATTTGTGTATGGATACAAAACAGAATGTTCCCAAATGCAATCTTGGATGTGATGCTCTAAACTTTAGAAATCCAGCTTCATTTATTTTGGATTAATTTCTCCCGCTTGGAGGCTGACACACTGTTTTACATCTATCAAATGCATGATTATAAAATTAACAATTTTGTACAATAATGAAATTAAACACACACACACATGAACTGTAAACTATACAGCACCATCTCTGTGTCATAGTTTTAAAAGGCACTTCCAGATGACATAAAAAATGAAGAGATATTTTTTAAGAACCTATTGATTTTTGATCTCCAATTTTGTGTGTGGGGGGTTGTTTTTCTTTAACCCTAGTTTTATCTAATTTGAGATTCATGAACAAGGTATCTCTAAGGGAAAGAGCAGCAGGTATAATTATTAGTTATTTTATAAGACTTTGTGAAGTCTTTGGTATAGTTCTAAAAACAAAGTGAAAGAACCTAATGTATGTATAAAAATAGTTTTGCAAGTCAATTGGTTTCTAATTCTTTGCTTTCAACAAAATTGAAGAAGAACCTTATACTTGAGTTGTCAGCTGACAGATTATTAAAAATATTATTTAATAATAGCCCATTATGTGAGTTTTGCATACGACTAAGAAGAAATTTTAAAAATTGGGTGAAGTTGCCTCAACAAGTCTTTATTTTCTCATTCATTTATATGATCAAGATTCCTTAGTTCTTTCATGTTAAAATTTTTTAATTGAAATAATATACAGCCCAGATTCATTAACAATAAGTAACATTTGTCAACATGAAATTGGGAAAATAAAGTCCCTATCCATCTCATTAAGAGATGCATTTCTAGTTAAATTTTACCATTACAAACTTACACTTTTATTTACCAAAATGTGTATTACAGATTGAGCATCCCTCATCAGAAAATCTGAAATGCTCCAAAATCTGAAACTTTTTGAGCACCAATATGATGCCACATGTAAGTACTGTACTTAACACAACTTCGTTTCACATATAAAATTATTTTAAATATGGTATAAAATTACCTTCAGGCTATGTGCATAATGTATATAAGAAACATAAGTGAACTTCATGCTTAGACTTGGGTCCCGGCCTCAAGATATCTCATTATGTATATACAAATATTTTAAAATCCAAGATAATCTGAAATCCAACACACTTTTGGTCCCAAGCATTTCAAATAAGGCATATCCAATCTGTACTGACATTATTTTGATCTCTAACAGTTGGTAATCCTATCTTAATCCATATAACTTTTTTTTGAGACAGCATCTTACTCTGTCATCCAGGGTAGAGTGCATGCAGTGGCACGATCATGGCTCACTGCAGCCTCGACCTCCTGGGCTCAAGTGATCCTCCTACCTCAGCCTCCCAAGTAGCTGAGACTACAGGCAGGAGCCACCATGTCCAGTAATTTTTTTTTTTTTTTTTTTTTTGTAGAGATGAGGTTTCCCTATGTGCCTAGGCTGGTCTTGAACTCCTGGGCTCAAGTAATCCTCCTGCTTCAGCCTCACAAAGTGCTGGGAGTACAGGTGTGGGCCACTGCACCCAGCCCATATAACTTTTACACTTACAACAAGAAATTAAAAATTCAATGTAAGAACATATTTTGTTGCAAAGAAGCAGAATAGGTGGCTCAATAAAAGATTTCCAAGAACAAAGAAAAAAATTACATTAGGATGTAACCAGGGTTGAGAACTCAAAAAAAAAAAAAAAAAGAAAAAGAAAAATTCTACATGGGGGGTAGAATAAAAATATGAATTCAAAGTGGGAAAAAAGAGCAATGTAAAATTTCCAACCATTAAGAAAGAGGTTGTTTGTATATTTTTTAAATTAATGATAATGGGTGTCAAAACATTATGATATTTAGATTGAATTGAACATATGAGCGATTAACAGTTTTATTTTAAAGTGTTAATATGGAGAATATGTTGGAAATTATATATTTTTTGCAACTATCTGGACACATGTTGACAATTTTAGGTCTGTCTAAGTCTATGGGAGGAGGCATATGACATTTCACAATCCTTGTAGGAGAGATGTGAAGGGAAGACCCCTGAGCTATTCTTCCTCTTTCTTGTGTTACCCCAGTAGGAAAATGGACTTATAACTGGAGAAGAGAAGCTAGGTGTCAGCAGAGACATGATGGAGTGGACATTTCTTTCAGTCCTTTACCAGGAAGTCCTCTCAAACTGAGGAGGAACATACTAAGGGAGAGACACACTAGTCTTGAAGCCCATGGCATTCCTGAAGATCCACCTCACACCCCAAATTACCAAACCCCAAAGCTCTCTTCAGCTCAGTAGGTTGTCCTTTAATTTTCAGTAACCCTTCCCTACAGCAGAAGAACCAATTTTTCTTTTCCCTCATAATTTGAATCCCTCCCACTAATTTATTTGAAGATGAAGATATTATCCTCTTTTACTACCAGTGAAAATACAATGACTTGAGAAGAGAAAATGATCTGTGTGACGCCAGGGTAGAAGTGGAAGTTGTGGGCCCTCGAATAAACCACTAGTCTTATACTTGAAGCAGGATAAACAATAAATGCCAAACCCAAGGCAGAAACTAGAAACATGGAGGAAAAGAGGCATAAATGCCTCATATTAGACAGTTACATTCTAAGAAATCTTTCTTGCAGCAGTTACTTTCCTACAATGACCAACTTCCTCTGACTCCAAATTTACTCCTTATGTACACTTGGGTTAGATATTCCTTTGACTATCCAATCATACCATTGTATAGTACCATTTACACATGCATACATGCTCACCTAAAGAACTTTTTGTGTGTGTGTGTGTGTGGTTTTTTTTTTTAAATCGAGTCTGGGACCTGGTTTCGCTCCATTGAGTCACTGGTGAAAAATTTAGTAAATCTACGAAGAGAGTTTAGTAAGTGTAAGAAGAGTCTGCTCACTGTGTGTGATATTCCAATAGATTCATGTGTTCTACACACAGGGATCTCTTGGATATAAGGGAGGCATTTCTCAGGTGTCTGGGTGACTTTCTGGTCATTATCCAGGTTCCTGGCTCAGCTTCCCAGGTCTCTTTGAATAAGCAGAGGGGATCCACATTCAGACAAGGCTCCTGGGGCTCTGACCAGAGGGGCTGGACATCCCTGGTAGACCTGACATTGGGCACTGAGACTCCTGGAAAACTTAAGCTGTTAATTTTGCAGTTCTCCATCTTGACTGCTTCTCGGACTGACCATCAGTTGGTGGGTTTTCATCAGCCTTCTGCCTCACCTCCTCTGATCCAAGCAGCAGCAGGGACTCACTTGCATGCACTGGTCTTGTAGGCAGTGACTTTTAAGCCACATCCTCTGTCTACCAGGCTAAACTTGCCTGCCTGAGAGGCATACTCCTTCCATCCTCTATCGTACATCTGTGAGCTACCAACTCTGGCCCTAGTGTGATACTGCCAGAATGTTGTGTACCTCATCTATTTAGAGTGGGAAGCCCATAAGGCAAACTGAAGAGGCCCCGTATCCTCACTCCCTTTCTGCTCAGTTTTTTCATTTATATTATCTCAACTTCACTCTACTAACCAGAGCACCAAGGAAGGGTAGGTTAGCAATTACGTCTATGATGACTATAGAGAAGTGGGGAGATGACTTATGATCCTCTTTGTGCTGGATTCCCTACTGAAGGCATCTGATGGCTTCTGATTTCCCTGGTCTGAGAAGAAAGTCCCTCTCCACCTCTCCCTCCTTACTCTACCTCAGGCTGAGGGGCTCAGGCAACCTTTTATGTTGCATATGGCATAGGTATCTCTGCCTCACTCCAGAAGGGACCAACCAATAGCCACCTACTCACCTACTTCTGAGGTCTAGTGCCTACAGACCTGGTGTTCATAAATTTAAGTTCTGGATTTAGGTCTCCTTTCCTGTAGCCAGGTGATCAGTGACCGGCAAAAATCAAGATCCCAGACTTCCTGAGTAACCTCATCAAGACTGAGGTAACAGCTCACATAGCTAGTGCATAGACAGATGCAGGTTACATGGAGTCTGAATCCCGTACACATTTGGAGGCTCCCTTTGGGACTGCTGGGATGCATGAAACATGGGATTTCACTCACAGTTGTGCTCACTATGTGTGATATTCCTATAGATTCATGTCTCTACACACAGGGATTTTTGATCATTCTGAATTGTTGATTCCCATAAAAAATGAATACATGGTGATCACTGTATATGCTGCATTACTGAATACATATTTACGAGAGTCTCCAACACATCTTTACACGTCTGAGGAGTAAAAGAATTTCCCACAGATTAGCTTCTGGTTCCCATTTCAAACCTCATTTCTGTTCCACCTCTGGCATTGGGTGTAGTATGGCTCCTTAGTGCTCCAGGCCAAAATAAGTGGCACAGGGGTAAAGTCATTTCTGGTGGGGGGTGGGGGATTTGGAGAAAAAAAGAAAGGATTGCAGGGGAGTACACTGGGAGGGTTAGGAGAAATTCTGGAGATACGGTCCACTCAATGGAGGCACATACAACCAAGCTGAGAAACGACATAGTACCCAACAGAGTTGGGAGATGTGAAACCCAAACATCAATCTCCACCTGGGCATAGAGGAAATACTCGATTTCCAAGCAGGTTCTAGGTTCAGAGGAGAGAGCCCTTGGTTGGAAGCGCCGGTCTTGCAGGATGGGGTGGGGGCGTTAATGCAAACTTCTGGTCCAGCAGAGGTAGAAACAGACCAGATCTAAGTAGCAGCTCAGAGGCAGCGGACTTGAGGGATGAAGACGTGAGGCCCAGAGGGTGGTGCCTGGCAGAGAAAACAGCTGCCAGACACCAAGGCCACCTCGGGTTAAAGGGAACAAGTTATATCCAAAAAAAAACCAACACGGTGAAAATAGGAAGAATAAGGATATCACCTGGAGTGTTCTCCTGAGACACTCCCCAAGAACCTGGATTCTTTAACAATCCCTCCAGAGCAGGGACACTCAGCACATACATCTCCCACAAAGTAAAGTGTCTGAAGGCCTGGGCAAACCCTTCTCCCTCCCCTTCTCTCTCCTCCACGGGCCGGCCCGGAGGAGGCTCAGGGATGAGAACTACTGTCACTGCTGTTCCCCACCTCACCCCAACGAGAGAGGAATCTTTAGAGGTCTGTATCCCTCCTTCACCACCCCGCCTGAGCGCCTGCTGGAAAACACAATCACCGTCTCAAATCTCACCCTGCAACTGCATCCAAGCGCTTTCTCCAAGCGTTCGGGGAGCCGCCGGAACTCTTCTTCCAGGCAGGCGTTCCGAGACTCCGCACAATAGGCACCTACCCTTGGGGTTTTGAGCCGCAGTGTCTGCCTCTGTTCAAGTATCCAGGCTCAGGTACAGACCTTTCAGTGCAGGCGGCGGGAGGCGCGAACACGGAGGACCCCCTCAGGCATACTGCCGCCCGGGCGGCGCCTGACAGATTGCCTCCTTGGGATCGGCGGACATGCCCTGGGCGCTCCAGCTCCGCGCGCCTCAGACACAGGCTATGATTGGCCTGGCTGAACGTCAATCAGGGCTCGGCGCCGTGGAGGCGGGAGGAACGCTGTAGGCAGAGGCCGCTTAACTCCCTACGGGGTTATTCTCCGCCTCTTCTAGGGTAGGCAGGTGTTCCCGAGTCCCTTAGGGGGGGTCCCCGCGGCGGCCTGAGATGCTCGGCGCCAGGTTGTCGCGCCCTTGAGCTGGCTGAAGTAGACATTGACTCTGGAGAGTCTGCGTTTTTCCTGGTCCCAGAGCCGTGGTCCCGATACTGCGCTTCCCGCTCCTCCAGTCCCAGCTCCCAGGCTCCGTCTTCTCCCGCTTGGCGCTGGAGAAACACCGGAAGAGAGAGTCGCAGAGTGACTGCTGTGGCCCTGCGACCTGACTGCCACCTTCCAGGACTCTAGCCCTGGCTCCTTCTAACCTTCCCGCCCCTCAGTGCCCCAGAGAGGCTGGTTTGCGGACAATTATTCATCAGCCGGAAGAAAAGGAGGTGCCAGTGTTAGGCGCAGAAGAGGGTTGGACCAGAAAAGCTGGAGAGGGGCAAGAGGGGAAAGAGGGGGAAGGGGGAAGGCGGAAGGCGGAAGAAGTTGGGAGGGGTAACAGCTCGAGCTTTTCCTCTAGCGTAGTTTCTCTTCTCTCGGTGCCGCCCCATCTGCTTCTTGCCTCAGTTCCCCACTCGCACCCGTGCACCTCTGCGGCAGGCGTGTGAAAGGAATGGGAGGGGGGGCTTTTGGTCGGGATATCTGGTCCTCCAGACCCCACAGCCTTGGCTGAGAACTTACTTAAGCCCACTCCAACTGACTTGATAAATGAGAATCTTGACCAGCCCACTGGTAGGTAGAAATGAGGGACGTCATCTATCCCTGAATGGAATAACGCGAAACCGCAGGTCACGTGGATGTGGGAATCCACAGCACTGGCTGCGCTCCTAAGGCTCCTAAGTCCACTTCCGAACCTCATCTAAGACCCTGAAAGCCAGACTAGGGACACATTGGATTATTATTATTATTTTTTTTATTTGAGACAGGGTCTCGCTCTGTCGCCCAGGCTGGAGTGCAGTGGTGTGATCTTGTCTCACTGCAACCTCCGCCTCCCGCGTTCAAGCGATTTTCGTGCCTCAGCCTCCCGAGGAGCTGGATCTACAGGTGCGCACCACCACGCCTGGATAATTTCTGTATTTTTAGTAGAGACGGGGTTTCACCATGTTTGCCAGGCTTGTCTCGAACTGTTGACCTCAAGTTATCCTCCCGCCTCCACCTCTTAAAGTGCTGGGATTACAGGCCTGAGCCTCTGCGCCAGTCCTACACGTTGGATCTTTTCCCAGACCTCCTCCTCAGACGTGGAGCGTACAAATGATGCTCCATCGGTTACTCTGATCCTGACTTTGGGACTGCCAGATAAAACTGGGAGAAACCCTACATTTACTCTTACTGTAACGTATTGGCTTGAAACTGCAGGTCAGAACCCATTTATGTTGAGACCAAAAGACTTTTTTTCCAAGTAGAATGAAATAGAATAAAATACAATTGAAAATACTTGCCTGCATCACAGGTAATGAGAGTAACTATAGTTTCATGAAACCGTTGTTTCAGTTAAATATGTTTTTGCGTGTGTGCATGTGTATCGGGAGGAGATATGTATTTCATATATATATGTAGAGAGGTGGAAATCAACAACAAAACTCCATAATTTTTCTTGTTTTCTAACAGTTCTTGATTTTGAGTAAAAATAATTCTTTAAGAACAAAATTTTGAGCCAGCTAACGAAAGATCAGAGTCAAGCAGCCTCTCATTGGGGCCTGAATAGAGGTTCATCTTATTTGGCTTTTTCGTTTTTTTCCTATCTTGTGGACTCCTTTTAAGGCCCAGCAAGGAATTACCCTCCCCAAGTTTCCACTCTCTGCTTGGTTCAGCCATTCAGCTGTCTCTCGGGCTCTTTGATTAATAAAAAGTCCAGTAGAGCTATTTTATCCTATGCATGTGTGGGAAGAGGGCAATGCCAGTGATTCTTTCCTGATTTGACAGAAAATTCACAAATCACGTTACCTTCTGAAGATAGAGATTTTAAGCTCAAACATTATCACCAGAGAACTGAATTATTAAGAAAGATGAGTGGTCAAAAGTACAGATGTTTTACAGATTAAGGGTCATTTTGTCAGGTCCTGTCCAAAATATTTGAAGTCTAGGGGTTTGAAAAATTGTTAGAAATAACCATTTATGACAACAGTTTTCATTTATTGTTCTCTCCAGCTTCAGGAGCAGGGGAGAACATTTTTTTCCTTCTTACCTTGCTGAGAATTTTTTCACCAGGGTTTCAAGGCTAAGAACTGAAATTCCAGCATTGACATTGAATTAAAAAGAAGCAAGCCCTTTTAGGAAGTCAAATTTTATTATATGAGATGGAATGTAATATTGAGATTACTTATTACTTAGGCATGGGATAGGGGGGCTTTTAACAACAGACCAAAAAAAAAGTTGGAAGGATAGGAATGAAATAAAGCAAACTTTCATTATTCATAGATGATACAATTGTCTACAGAGAAAAATAATCTAAAACATAAGAATTAAGAGTTTGGCACAGTGGTTGGCTAAATATATAAACAAATCTATTGCATTTTCTATAAAAACAAAAAAGTAGAAATGTGATTAACTGGTTTATATAACAAACTTACAGTACAGTTGACCTTTGAACAACATGGGCTTGAACTGTGCAGGTCTACTTATATATGATTTTCTTCTGCCTTTGCCACCCTTGAGACAGCGAGACCAACCTCTCCTCCCCTTCCTCCTTCTTAGCATATTCACCATGAAGACATGAGGATGAAGACCTTTATGATGCTCCACTTCCACTTAATGAATAGTAAATATATTTTCTCTTCTTTATGATTTTTTAAATAACATTTTCTTTGCTTTTCTGAGACAAGGTCTTGCTCTGTTGCCCAGGCTAGAGTGCAGTGTTATCATGGCTCACTGTAGCTTCAACCTCCTGGGCTCAAGCGATTCTCCACCTCAGCCTCCCAAGTAGCTGGGACTACAGGTGCACGCCACCCTACCTGGCTAAATTTTTAATTTTTTGTAGAGATGGGGTCTCGCTATGTTGCTGAGGCTGGTCTCCAACTCCTTGTCTCAAGCACTTCTGCCTCAGCCTCCCAAACTGCTGGAATTACAGCCATGGGCCACCGCACCTGGCCAACATTTTCTTTTCTCTAGCTTACTTTACTGTAAGAGTACAGTATATAACACATAAAAATATAAAATATATGTTAAATAACTTTATGTTATTGGTAAGACTTCTGATCAACAGTAGGCTATTAGTAAAGTTTTGGAGGAGTCAAAAATTATGTGCAGATTTTTGACTGCACAGGTGGTCAGCGCTACTAACCCTCGCATTGTTGAAGGGTCCACTGTAATCAGGAATAAATTCTCAAAAAGGAAAGGCATGCAAGATCTTAGTGGGGAAAATTAAAATCATTAAAAGAAGTTGAAGAAGTACTGCACAGATGGAGAGACACATTCATGGTTAGGAAGCATCAATATCATTAAAATGCCAGTTTTCCCCAATGTGATCTATAGTTTCATGCTATTTCTAGAAAAATTTCAACAAAATGTTTTATAGAATTGGACACAATGATATTAAAATGAAACGAAGGAACACAAGTTCAAGAAGAGCCAAAATACCATTGAAAATAAAGAGGAAGTTGGGGAATTTCCTGACTACATGAGAAGATATTATATACACCACTGGATTTAAGACCATGTGCTATTATTGGTGAGAGAGGGAGTAGACAACTGGGCCAATAGAATAGAATGGAAAGAGTGTCAGGACCCCTTGTATGTGAAGAATGGTCATTAAAGACCAGTGGGTAAAGGATGTATAATTCAATAAGTTTGAATTTATGACACTGGATTAGTGGATATATATACATCATAATAAATTCCAGATGAACTAAGTACCGACGTATTGAAGGCAAAACTGTAAAACTTTTAAATGAAAATGTGAAAGAAATATTTGTATGACTTCAAGGTAGAAAAATATTTATTAAAAAGACACACATACACATTTTAAAAACAAAAATGTTAAGAGAAGATGAATAAATTTGACCACATTAAAATTAGAAACTTTAATCAAAACACACTCTAAAGGAAAAAAAGCCACAATCTAAACTTATTTATATCACACATAATTTACATAGGATCAATATCCAGAACATCTAAGAATAGCCCCATAGGAAAATGATCAAAAGATGTGAAAGGGCAGTTCACAAAAAGGGATATATAAAAGACCAATAAACGTACAAAAGTTAAGCTCACAATAGTTATCAGAGAATTGTGAATTAGAACAGTCCTTGAAATAACATTTTAAAATCACTAAATAGACAAACATTGAAAAGTCTAACATTATCAAAAATCAATGAGGATGTAGGGTGAGGGGAACTCATACTCTGATGGTGGACTTCAAACTGAAATAATCTACTTGGAAAAAAATTGGCATTTTGTAGAGTTGAAGCTGAGAATATCCTAAAGCATAGCAGCTCTACCCTTAAATATATATGCACCTTAGGGAAATTATTGAATAAGGCACCAAGAGCAATGTGCAGGAAAAGTCATGAGAGCATTCTTTGTAATTGCAAAAAGCTGGAAACAACCCAGTGTCCATTTGCAGGTAAACTGATACACAAATTTTGGCATAATCATAATGTGGAATTCTCTGCAACATCAAGATCAGTGGAATACAGATAAAATAATAAACTTGCATAATTCTTAAAATCATATTGTTGAATGAAGAAAACAACAGAAAACTACATTTTGATATTAATTATGATGTTAATTTGTTGTCAGACAAAGACAATATTTACTATGATGAAAAGCAAGATAATGATCAACTCCAAATTTGGAATAATAGTTGCATTTTGCAGAGAGGAAGGGAGATTCTAAGGGAAGACAAATACAGGAAACTTTAATGTTAAGGGTAACGTTCCATTCCTTCATGTGACTGGTGGGAAAAAATGGATGTTTAAAATTCTTGTAGATATGCATCACATGCATTACTTATTTGTAGAAAAATATTTCAAAAACTGGATCATAAGAAAAAAGGAAAAAGATGTATAAGAAATCATTTGCATAGAGACAGAAGTAACAAAGGCAATTTGATGAAATTTATTGAGACAGAAGACTAAAAAATGAAAAAACATGGTAAATATAAAAATATGATGGCAGAAGTAATCCAGATATATATGCATTTGTAATGTCCATTTATATCATTGCATTAAATCTAAATTTTTCTGCTCAGTAAAGATGGTCTGTGTGTGTGTGTGTGTATTTGCTATTCAAAAAGTGCTGGTGGCAATGGCTTATACCTGTAATCCCAGCACTTTGGGAGGCCAAGGAGGGAGGATCACTTGAGCCCAGGAGTTTGAGATCAGCCTGGGTAACATAGCGAGACCCTATCTCTACAAAAATAAAAAAATTAGCCAGGCGTGGTTGTGCATGCCTGTAGTCCCAGCTACTGAGGAAACTGAGGTGCAAGGATCGCTTGAGCCTGGAAGGTTGAGGTTGCAGTGAGCCGTAGTCGCACCCCTGCACTCCAGCCTGAGCGGCAGACTGAGACCCTGTCTCAAAATAAAAACAAAAACAAACAAAAAGCACCTAAAACAAAATGACACCGAGTGATTAAACCAATGGACAATGATAAACTCAGGCAAATGCTAACAAAAATTAATTATGGATAGAAATACTGTCTTACTCCATTTTGTGCTGCTATAATAGAATATCCAAGACTGGATAATTTTTAAAGAACAGAGATTGACTTATTACAGTCCTAGAGGCTAGGAAATCCAAGGTTGAGAGGCCTGCATCTTGCAAAAATCTTCTGGCTGCCTCATACTGTGGTGGAAGGCAAAAGGGATAAAAAGAGAGCTGAGAGAGAGAAAGAGAAAGAGAGAGCGCCCAAGTGCAACAGGTTGAATTCACAGGCTTTTAGCCTTTTTGTAATTGGCATTAATTCATTTATGAGGATGGAGTCGTCATGACCTAAACACCTCTCATCATTAAGCCTCACCTACTAACACTGTTGCATTGAATATTACATTTCCAACATATGCTTTTTGGGGACACATTCAAACCATTACAAATACTAATATTGAACAAAGTAGAATAAATGATGAAGAAATTTTTCAGTGTCAAAGAAGGATACTTTATTATGCTAAAATGTACAATTCACCAACTACCCATAAGTTATAAGCCTTCATATCCTAAACAAGTCTTTGAAAGTTAGGGAAAAAAATGTGCTTTGTTAGGAAGGATAAATTGACACATTTAAGAGCTTTTAGCATACTTTTAAACTAAACTGTCATATCCAATTGTAAAATAATGTGAATGTAAGATATTTTGCTAAAGCAAATAATGATCTTAAGTTATCAAATATTTATAAAATTGTGTACTCAACAAATAGTGAATGCATATTTTCCCAAACATAATGCATTAAACCACAAAGTAAAATTAAATAGAAATTAGAAACTACACGGGCTATATTCTCTCACCGGTATAAAACACATACATAGAAAAACAAAACAAAACTAAAATAAAACAAAACAAAACCTCACCAAAACAGTACTAACAAGAAAGCCTCCACTTGGAAACTTAAAAACATCTCACTAATTTTTGGGTTGAAAAGGAAATCAAAATTGCAATTCAAAGGAGTTATGTTTTTGCTAGGAATATGGAGGGAATTCAGTTCAGAATTCATTTCTCTATATAGTACAGCAAAGAGAATGAAAAAGAAAACCACACAAGAACCTCATTTTTAGTGAAACTAGGAAACAAAAAGTATGGTTACATCCCAAATTGCATGTCATTTGTGCTTAAAGCAACGGAGAGCAGAACTGGGCATAAGAAGCCAAAATGTTGCTGTGGCAACAGATGAAAGCGTGGAGGGAACTAGTGGTGCGGGATCTCGGAAAGGGCCCGAAAATATTCTCTCTCTAAGAGTAGAAGCCAGCCTAGGTTGGAGCTGTTGGCAGTTGGCCTGAGCTACAGTGAGGCCCAGATGCTGGGGAAGGCAGAAGAAGGCCCACATATTGGGGGAGCAGACTTTGTTTTGGAGGTTCCAAGGTGGCAGATAACAAAGGTTCCCTCTGGAATGCAGGGGGTCCTAACACCGTGGTAGAATCCTTCCTGAAATAGATTAAATTCCCCAAGTTGGAAAAAACATGGATGCAGCGTATTTTAAGATAAAGTTTACGTGTTAGTAATAAAGGATTGGTCCTTCGGTTGTAAAACCTGGGAGGTTACTATTGCCCATGTCTTCTCTCACCAACCCATCATCCCACCCCCATCCAATAGGAGTCTTCCACTAATATCTGGTCCAGGAATGCTCAATTTATTCAGAATAAGTAGGAAAAGAAATGGCACAGTTCCACATAAATATGCCATGAGAAAAAAATGTTTACAGAAAGCAGCAAGATTTCCCTCCAGAAGTAATGAAGCAACCTCAGCCATGAAGATCATGGAGCCAAAAGGATGACCTTCAGCAGAAGCAGTTACGAGCCAAAGAGGTCCAAGGGCACTGAGGGAGGAGCCAAGTGGTAAGGGCCACCTCTGGCTGGGATCCAGGGTGCCCAAGTGGGAAAATGAGCAAGCCAGAGAGTGCTTGGTCTAGGGATTAAGAAAAGCACACAGTAATAGGTTGGACACTAAATTTGAAAATGAACAGTGAGAAAAATGCTGTGGGGACCAGGATTGAAATGAAGTAACAGAACAATTAAAATTACATGATCCAGGGACAGAGACTTGAACTCATAAACAGGCCTGTGTTGCCCATTAGTCACAAGGGGAGCAGTGAGCCATTGTTAAAATGCCAAGGATTCCCAATGCAGTTTACTTGGAACTTTGCCCAGCGATGAAGGAGTCTGACTTGTCTTTTCTGTAATAGTTAGAATCAAAGAAAAATAAAGCACAGCTGGTGGGAGGGTGAGAAGCAAGCATCATGAACCACGGTCTAATTCAAGGATCAAACTGCTGTCCAGTTCTGGCAGATTTTGGATTGCAAGGGGAATAAAGCTGAGAGGCCATATTGGCACCTAGGCACAGTGAGGTGAGTCTGGCCACGCATTTAAGAAGCCCCTGCAAAATGATACAGGTGGTTACTAAAAACCACCTCTGGCCTCTGGAAAAAAAGAAATAGCATCTCCCGGATAAGAATATCTGGGTCTCACACCTATTGACCAGGTCGAGATAGGGTTCAGTTGGGGATGGGATATAATAAAAGGCATGGGTAAAGAAACTGGGCAGAGGCATAGTGCCTGCATGTTGGAGATTAAGGAGGGAATTCGGAACTCATTTTTCTATATATATTACAACAAAGGTTAAGTTTGGAGGTTAAGTAAGGATGCTGCAGCTCACTCATGGTTGCTTTTCCTTCAGAGTACTCATGCCTCGGCTTACCCAGGGGGACTCAAGGAGAGGAATGTGTGTGCGCATATCTATCTATCTATCTATCTATCTATCTATCTATCTATCTATCTATCCATCCACCTTCTAATCTACCTAAATCAATCACTGTGTGTATCTATTCCAACCACAATGGACTCCTATCATTCAATTTCATTTAGTGGTACATCTCAGCCCAGTTTACAGAAAAGCTGTAAAGGGCTGTAAAAGGCTGTATGAGAACATAATCTGAAAAGCGTTGCTCAAAAGAGCATATTATATATTATTGGGCATTTATGAAGAAATTAGATCTCACACTGAGCTAGTTAATAAAGATTTATAATTACAAATGGGCTGCAGCATGTGATTCTGAACTTGACTATTTCCTTTTGCCCTTCAGTTTCAGACTATGATATGGATTATGATTCTCTACCACCCCCTAGTGGAAATTCATTCATTTCTTTTTAAGTCCTGTTTCTTCTAATCATTTAGTCTAAATGATTAGACTAAATGAGAAAATTACATAGTAAATATCTGGATTCACTCTTGTTATAAAAGGTTCAAACCGGCTGGGTGCGGTGGCTCACACCTGTAATCCCAGCACTTTGGGAGGCCAAGGCGGGCGGATCACAAGGTCAGGAGATTGAGACCATCCTGGTTAACACAGTGAAACCCCCGTCTCTACTAAAAACACAAAAAATTAGCCTTGCGTGGTGGCGGGCGCCTGTAGTCCCAGCTACTCGGGAGGCTGAGGCAGGAGAATGGCGTGAACCCAGGAGGCGGAGCTTGCAGTGAGCCAAGATTATGCCACTGCACTCCAGCCTGGGCTACAGAGCAAGACTCCGTCTATAAAAAAAAAAACAGCAAGTTCAAACCATACAGAAGGGTACGGAGTAAAAGGTCTCCTTTGTTTCTCCCTCCTCCCCATTCCATTCTAGGTCCCAAAGGTAACTGTGTGTAGTTTGTGTTATACTAGGATATTTCCTGTGCTTTTACACATTCCAGGTATATGGCAGGAAAAATCCTGAGACATCAACTGAGGATTATTTTCCTCAGGCATCTTTCTACAACAGAGGCAGATAACGCATTTCCCCTCATGCCATGGGAGACAGACCACAGCAAAACAGCAATGACCAAAAGATTAAGATTTTTCATTTAAAATTTTACATTTGAAAACCATGGTAGGCCAGGTGTGATGGTCACATGCCTTTAACCATTTAGGAGGCTAAGGCAGGAAGATTGCTTGAGCCCAGGAGTTCAAGACCAGCCCGGACAACATGACGAGACTCAGTTTCTACAAAAAAAAAAAAAAAAAAAAAAAAGAAAAGTAAAGAAAAAAAATTAGCTGGGCATGGTGGCGCTCACTTGTGGTTTCAGCTACTCAGGAGGCTGAAGCAGGAGGATTGCTTGGGCACAGGAGGTTAGGGATACAGCAAGCCATGTTCAGGTCACTGTACTCCAGCCTGGGTGACAGAGTGAGACCTTGTCTCAATAAATAAATAAATAAATAAATAAAATAGAAAACCCAGTAGAGGCCAAATGAAAGAAAGGTCTTTGGAGATGAAAAACCTTAGATTACTAGATATCTGAAGTCAGCACTTGTTCCATAAATAATAGATTTGGGAAGTACTCCGGATAATCTTAGAGCCAATTTTCTTCTGTGGAAGTGATAAGAATCCACAGGCTGAAGACAGAAAGAGTGTCAGGAACTGGTTTTGGGGTCTTGCACTCTGTAATCCAGTTAAACTGTGTGACAGAGGGTCAGTGCCTCCTCCAACTCAGATATTTTGGGCATACAAGGATGGGATCAAAGAGTGTGCTGTTTCTGGTCTACGGAATATTACAAATTTGAATGAAATAAAAATATTTCTGACAGTTTCTAAACTCTCTTTTCTTAGTACTCAATAGAATGGACTGTCATCCATGCTGGGTAAGGAAAGATCTTGACAAGGAAAGGAAGGAATCAGGGTTTCATGAGAGACAGGGTTCTAGGGATCCAAGCACCATGATGAGGTAATGGCTAAGTTTTCTCTTGGGTAATGCAAAGAAAAGTTGACCTTTACTGCTGTGAAGCAAATTAGAAGCTAACCCGGGGTGCATTCGTTTGGTTTCTTCCAGAAGCAGTCCCTGACACAGGGACATGAATGAAAGTAATTTATTTTGGAGGTGCATGAAACTTCAGTAGCAGCTGAGTAAAAGATTGGGAAGGGAAAACAGCCAACGAAGGGTGAATGACTGGAACTTAATCCCCTGGGGAAATTCTGGGAAAGCACTTGCCTCAGAGTTAACCCAGCCACGGAAGGAGGGAGTTGGGCAATTGTACATCAATTCCCATTGGTTGAAGGCTGCTGCCTGACACGTGAACTCTTCGGCCCTTCTAGTCTGCTGTGAGTCGGGCAGAGTGGCCCTTCTTGGCTTTGAGGAAGCCTTCAGGAATGATGCAAATGTCCAGCCAGTGTGCACTACAGTGGTAAGGCCCAAGGAACATGGCAGGTATTAGTAGCATCAGCCGTCTATTTCTAGTTGGAGAACCCTTAGATGACTGGAGCCTGTGATCTCTTACATCTATAATATCTGTGATCAGAATGGAAGAATTTTCTATTGTCTTTTCTTTTTCAATTTTGCCCAAGCCTTCATAAAGTCTTGTTAAAACTTTGACAACAGTCTTATTTTTACATTCCTTTAATCAAGAAGGACAGGCCTATGTCCAAATATAGGAGGATGTATTAGTTTGCTAGGGCTACCATAAGAAATACCACAGACTGAATGGCTTAAACAACATAAACTTATTGCCTCCTGGCTCTGGAGTCTAGAAATGTGAGATCAAGGTGTCAGCAGGGTTGGTTTCTTCCGAGGTCTCTGTCCTTGGCTGGCAGATGGTTGTCTTTTCCCTGCATCTTCCTATGGACTGCCCCCTGTGTATGTATGTCCTAATCTCTTTTTATATGGATACTAGCTATATTAGGACCTACTTTCATAACCTCATTTTCACTTAATTAACTTTTTAAAGACTCTAACTCCAAAAAAAATTCACGTTCTGAGGTACTGGGTTTATTCAACATTATGAACTTATAGGGGGACACAGTTCAGCCCAAAAAGAGGAAAATGGGGCAAAGGGAAAATCCTTCTTCTCCATCTTCTTTCCTGTTCTCTCTCAAAGGCCAAGGTGAGTGAGAGCAACATTGGATCATGGGATCTTGGTTGCCCTGCAACTCAAGAGATATCTGGCTTCAACATTAGCAGTGAGCAACAGCAGAGCTGAGAACAGTGGTATAGAACTGAGTCACACTGAGTCAGGCTACATTTCCCAGGCTAATTTGCAAACCAGAATTCCAGATATAATTTTTATTCACTCAAACTTTCCACTCATGAACTTCTTAAATGTATTTTGAAAAACTATGCACATCCTCATACATGTTTTTTAAATTTAACTTTTTATTTTGAGGTAATTAGAGAGTGACATGCAGTTGTAAGAAATAATACAGACAGAACCTTTTACCCTTTAATCCAGTTTCCCTGATGGTAACATCTTATAACACTTCAGTACAGTATTGCAATCAGGATATTGACATTTGTGTCAATGTCAATATTACAGTCAAGACAGTATTTTTGTCACTCCAAGTATCCCTTATCTTGCCCTTTTATGGTCGGTTCACCTCCTTCCCACCCCCATCACTTCCTTAACCACTGGCAACTATGAATTTTTTCTCTATTTCTGTACTTTTGTCATTTCAAGCTTCTTAATACAAAATGTTATACAAATGGATTGTGCTTTTTTTTTCTTTTCAATAAAGTTTATTTTATTTATTTATTTTTTTTTTTGAGATAGAGTCTCACTCTGTCACCCAGGCTGGAGTGCAGTGGCACCATCTCAGCTCACTGCAACCTCCACCTCCAAGGTTCGAGTGATGTTCATGAGTCAGCCTCCCGAGTAGCTGGGATTACAAGCATGTGCCGTCTTGCTTAGCTAATTTTTGTATTTTTAGTAGAGACGGGTTTCACCATGTTGGCCAGCTGGTCTCGAACTCCTGACCTCAATGATCTGCCTGCCTCGGCCTCCCAAAGTGCTGGGATTACAGGCGTGAGCCACCACGCCCAGCCTGGATTATGCTTTTGATGTCAAGCCTACGAATTCTTTGCCTGGCCCTACATCTCAAAGATTTTCTCCTATTTTTCTAAAATTTTAATAGTTTTACACTTCACATTTACTCTGTAATCCATCTTTTTTGTTTGTTTATCTATTTTTAGAGATGGGGTCTTGCTCTGTTGCTCAGGCTGGAGTGAAGTGACGTGATCACAGCTCACTGCAGTATGTAACCTTTTGGGACTGGCATTTTTCACTCAGTATAACTCTCTGGAGATTCATCCAGGTTGTTGTGTGTATCAGTCATTCTTTTTTATTGCTGAGTATTATTTCATGGTATAAGTGTACAACAGTTGGTTTAACCATTTACCTGTTAAAGGATATCTGGGTTATCTTTGGCTACAATGAGTAGGCAGTTAGACAAACATTTGCATACAAGGTTTTGTGTGAAGGCATTGTCTGTGCTTGTGTATTTGTGTATGCAAGTTTTCATTTCTTGGGGCTAAATACCCAGGAGTACAGTTGCTGGGCAGGATGGTAGTAGTATGCTTAGTTGTTGGATTTTTGTTGTTGTTGTTGGTTTTGTTTTGTTTTTAAGAAACTGCCAAATCATCTTCCAGAGTGGCTGTACCATTTTATATTCCCATCAGAAATTATGAGAGATCCAGTATCTCTTCTTCCTTGCCAGCATTTAGCATTGTCGCTTTTTTTTTTTTTTTTTTTTTGAGAAAGAGTTTCACTCTTGTTGCCCAGGCTAGGTACAATGGTGTGATCTCTGCTCACCGCAACCTCTGTCTCCCGGGTTCAAGTGATTCTCCTGCCTCAGTCTCCCGAGTAGCTGGGACTACAAGCATGTGCCACCACACCTGGCTACTTTTGTATTTTCAGTAGAGACAGGGTTTCTTCATGTTGGCCAGGCTGGTCTCAAACTCCCGACCTCAGGTCATCTGCCCACCTTGGCCTCACAAAGTGCTGGGATTACAGGCGTGAGCCACCACACCCAGCCCATTGTCACTATTTTTATTTTAGCCATCCTGATAGGTGTGGAGCGATTATCTCATTGTGGTTTTAATTTGCATTTCCCTAATGGCTAATGATGTTGAACGACTTTTCATGTGCTAATTTGCCATTTTTATATCCTCCTTAGTGAAATATTACCTTAAGTCTTTTGCCTATTTTCTAATTGGATTTTTAATGTGTTTTCTTTGTTGAGTTTTGAGAGTTCTTTATATACTCTAGATACTAGTCCTTTGTTCAATGCATAGTTTGCAAATATTTTCTCCTACTGTGTAGCTCATTTTTTCATCCACTTACCAGATCTTCACAAAGCAACAGTTTTACATTTTGATGAAATCCAATTTATCAGTTTTTCCTTTCATAGATCATGCTCTCAATGTCAAGCCTAAGAATTCTTCGCCTAGACCTATAGCTCAAATATTTTCTATTTTTCTAAAATTTAAGAGTTTTATGCTTTACATTTACTCCATAATCCATTTTGTTTATTTATTTTAATTAATTGTATCTGGTAAAGGTTAAGGTATTGCATTTCTCTGACATTTTTTTTTTTTTGAAACAGAGTCTTGCTCAGTCACCCAGGCTAGAGTACAGTGGTGTGTCACAGCTTATGACAGCCTCGAACTCCTGGGCTCAAGCAATCCTTCTGCCTCAGCATCCCAAGTAGCTGGGACTACAGGCAGGAGCCACCACACCAACATTATTTTTCATTTTTGTGTATAGACAGGGTCTTGCTATCTTACCCAGGCTGGTCTTGAACTCCTGGACTCAAGCAATCCAATCCAGTTGGAATTAAATTTTGCATAAGGCATGAGACTTAGGTCAAGTTTCATTTTTATTTTATTGTCTTGCCTATGGATGCCCAATTGTTCCATTTCACCATTGTTCAATTCACTATTTGTGAAAAAGGCTATTTTTCTTCCACTGACTTCCTTTTGCACCTCTTTCAAAAATCATTTGGGCAGATTGTGTGGGTCTTTTTCTACGTTCTCTATTTTGTTCCACTCATTTGTGTGTCCATTCCTCTGCTAGTAACACACAGTCTTGATTACTGTAGCTATAAAACAATACTTGAAATAGGGCAGACTGATTTTCACTCACTTTATTCTTCTTTTTCAAGAATGTTTTAGGCGTCGGCGTCGCTCCCGCCCTGGAGCTCTAGGCCCGCTTTTCCCCGCTTGAGTCTGGCGTCGGGGTCATTGTGTCTTGACAACCGCTCCGGTACCCCTTTCCGAGGCAGCAGGTGCGGCCGCTTTAGCCTTGAGCGGGCTCCGCGTCTGCCTGCTGGTCTCTGCTAGTGCCGACCCTTCTGTTCGCGGACCCCACGCCAAGCAGCGACCCTGAGCCGACAGGCGGAGCACCCGGCAATGGCGGCCTCCACGGCCTCGCAACGGCCCCTCAAGGGGATCCTGAAGGACAACACCTCTACGACTTCCTCTATGGTGGCGTCGGCCGAACATCCCCGTGGGAGTGTCCACGAGCAGCTGAGCAAAAAATCCCAGAAGTGGGATGAAATGAACATCCTGGCGACATATCGTCCAGCAGACAAAGACTATGGTTTAATGAAAATAGATGAACCAAGCACTCCTTACCATAGTACGATGGGTGATGATGAAGATGCATGTAGTGATACAGAAACCACTGAAGCTATGGCAACAGATAGCTTGCTAAGAACTTAGCTGCTGCTGAAGGCTTGGAGCCAAAGTATCAGGTTCAGGAACAAGAAAGCAGTGGAGAGGAGGATAGTGACCTCTCACCTGAAGAACGAGAAAAAAAGCGACAATTTGAAATGAGAAGGACGCTTCACTACAATGAAGGACTCAATATCAAACTAGCTAGACAATTAATTTCAAAAGACCTACACGATGATGACAAAGTTGAAGAAATGTTAGAGACTGCACATGGAGAAAGCATGAATACGGAAGAATCAAATCAAGGATCTACTGCAAGTGACCAACAGCAAAATAAATCACGAAGTTCATAGAAGGGATTTGTTCAACACTCTTATTGTTTGTTAGATATGAACCCCGTTGCTATAATACATTGCTTCTCGTTCTCCACAAGTCATGACTTAAGTACCAAAGTGCATACCAGTTATTATATATTGCCAAGAATTAAATGAAAACCTTAAAGACTGATTAGACTGAAAATGCCTAATTGATATATATATTCTTGTGCCTAGTACTTTACCACAAATACGGTGTAATATCATCAGTCCAAAACTGTATTACTTTTGTAAAAATACTGGTTAATTTGTATATTATATAGCTTTTCATGCTTTAGAGGTTAAACAATATCTTTGGGGGGGGGGAACTAATTTATTTTCATCACTCTAAATGTGGTGATAGCTCTTATAAAGTTTGTTGACTTTTTTTTTTAACCAAAAGCCAATTGAACAACAGGATATATATGCTGATAAATATTCAGGCTGAATAGTATTTTAACACTTGTCTTCAACTTGATTTGTCTGTTTAATTGAAAAGGATTGTGACCTGGCACGGTGGCTCACGCCTGTAATCCCAGCACTTTGGGAGGCCGAGGCAGGTGGATCACGAGGTCAGGAGATCGAGACCATCCTGACTACCACGGTGAAACCCCGTCTCTACTAAAAAAAATACAAAAAACTAGCCAGGCATGGTGGCGGGCGCCTGTAGTCCCAGCTACTCGGGAGGCTGAGGAGGGAGAATGGCGTGAACCCGGGAGGCGGAGCTTGCAGTGAGCCGAGATTGTGCCACTGCACTCCAGCCTGGGCGACAGAGCGAGACTCCGTCTCAAAAAAAAAAAAAGAAAGAAAGAAAAGGATTGTAAGAGTTACTGTTACATTTTCTGGCCTACTACCTTTAAAATTCCTGTTGCATTTCTTTGTATTTACAAGGAAAAGACTGAACTTTTTCTCATCAAAACTAGCTTTTTTCTCACAGGTTAAACTTGCACCAATGTCTGCTCTTTTTTTTTAATGTTTTTGGTACTCTGGGCAGACTTCAGTTTTTTAAAAAATAAAGATTCTAATGCAGCTATCTTGGCATTCCCTTTAAATACCTGTCTTAACCTCCTACTTTTATTTCCTACTCCTTTCCACACACATGCACACAATCCTTTACCTTTTAAAGAATCATTAAGACTGTCACACATTAGGAACTCTTTCGCTCACTCTTCTGTCATTTGCTGCAATATTGAAATTCTTATTTTGACCATCAATGCCTATTAATTCTTCTAATACATGAAGAAAATGGTTGAGTAGCAGCAGTACTATAGGTGGGAAATACAGTTTAACTGCTGAATTTTTATACCTCTCTGATTTATAGCTTGCTAATTAAATTGCTATTATTAGTTTGTTTGGCTTAATTAGACTTAAGAAAACAACAGGTTTTTTTTTTTTTTTTTTTTTGCATGAGGAGAGAATTGTATGTAACCAGTGATATGATTATTCCTGAATGTACAGACAGAAGTAATCATGGACATTGTTTAATTTAAAAACTTTAGTCCCTGCTTTAAGGGAATATGATAATGTATACTATGACAAATGTACTTTATTCTTCTAACACAGTAAGAATTACTTGGAACTTTTTCCTGAAACTAAGTGCAGGAAAGCCCTGTGTGTCTTGGTTTAGTGATGGTTTCATTTCTAGCCATACAACTGATGGATTGTATACAATTTTTGTTAGTGCCAAAATAATCTGTTATATGAACAGACTTCTAAAATAATTTCTGTATATTATATATGTAAGTAGGCTTTTATTGAACAGCTTATTTTCCACTTGCAAGTTTATGGAAATATCAGTATGTCAAAATAAAAAGTGGGAGAATTCTTTGCTGTTAGAAGAATGTGCTTATTATTTTGATTTCTTAAATGGTACATAATCAAAGTACTGCTGAACTATAGGTGCAGTATTCTACTAAACATTTCAGCTAGTAATACCACTGATTTAGAAACAAAACTGTTTATTTTTGCTTTCTGAATTTAGAATGCTGGGATTATCTGTTTAAATATGTTTTAGGGAATATAGAGATTAAATCTGTACATACTTGTGCACATATATTCATGCACCCTCTGATTTTGGTTTTCTCGTTTTTGAGTTCTTAGAAAGTATCCACATACTCTTCTTTTAGTAGAAGTAGCTGTTTTAGAGAGAAGAAAAGGATGAGACTTTAAATAGTTGATTCTTTTTGTGTTTTCTACAAACTTTTTTGAATTTTAAATCACAAGCAAACTAATTTTCTGGTTTTTAGAAAGTAGATGATGATTTCAGAGGAGTAAGACATGCCAAACAGCGTGCTCGGTAGGATTTTAGGTAGTCAAATGCAGCTGAGAAAAAGTATTTTCAAGTCATAAGTTGCTAATTGATATGCTATGAACTAGTCAAAATAGGAACCATATGATTCATGTTAGATTTTCCTCTAGAGATGGATCTGAATGTTCAGTTCTAGCCAAGGTAGATTTTACTTTCAACTTTTTAATCAATATCACTTTCTGTGCTTAATCTCTTTGGTGTTACCTTGTCCATTTTCATTTGTCTAAAATTCTGCAGGGATGACTACAATTTGGCATAATGGTATAAATGAATTGTTAAGGGTAACTTTAAGTTGAAGATTAAAGCAAGATGCCATTTTCCCCATGTCTTTCATTTTGTTTACATTTTTTCCCTTTAAGTTAGTATACACTACACATACTACAATAAAATATAATAATATGAAAAAAGAATATTTTAGATATTCTAGTCCCTTTGCCTTTCCTTGTAAATTTTAGAGTAATCCTACCTATAATTAACAAATCTTGCAAAGATTTTGATTGGAATTGTGTTAAACTTGTATATTGGTTTGGGGAGAATTGACATATTTACTATATTGAATCTTCCAATCCATGAACAGTATTTCTCTCCACATAGATAGAGACTGAATAGATCTTCTTTGATATCGTTCACCAGCATTACATAGTTTTTAGCTTGCAAGTCTTGCATGTTTTGTTAGATTTACACATAACTGTTTCATGTATTTGAGTAATTGTAAATAATACTCAATTTACCGCGCCAGGCGCGGTGGCTCACGCCTGTAATCCCAGCACTTTGGGAGGCCAAGGTGGGCGGATCACAAGGTCAGGAGATCGAGACCATCCTGGCTAACACGGTGAAACCCCGTCTCTACTAAAAATACAAAAAATTAGCCGGGCATGGTGGTAGGCGTCTGTAGTCCCAGCTACTCCGGAGGCTGAGGCAGGAGAATGGCGTGAACCCGGGAGGCGGAGCTTGTGGTGAGCCGAGATCGTGCCACTGCACTCCAGCCTGGGCGACAGAGCGAGACTCCGTCTCAAAAAAAAAAAAAAAAAAAAATATATATATATATATATATATATGTATCACTTGTTCATTGTATGTAGAAATACAATTGATACTGGTTTATCCTGTATTCTGTTAATTTGCTGAAATCACATATCTAGAAGTTTTTCTGTAGCTTCCTTGTGATTTTCTACATAGACAATCATGTCACTTACAAATGGGAGCTGTTTATTTCTTACTTCACAATCTGTATGCCTTTAATCTCCTTTTTCATGCCTATTGCACTGTCTAGAACTTCCAACACTGTGAATAAGAGTGGTGAGAGTGGACATTCTTGCCTTGTTCCTGATTTTAGGTAGAAACTATTCAGTCTTTCAGAATCAAGTATGTTCACCATAGGATTTTTGTAGACGATCTTTATCAAGTAAAGAAAGATCTACTCTACTCCTATATTTCTGAGATTAAAAAAAAATAATGAATGGGTGTTAAAGTGGGTTAAATACTTTTTCTTCATCAATTGATATGAACAAGTAAATTTTCCTCTTCAGCCTATAATATGATGGATTACATTAATTAATTGTGAATATCCAACCAGCTTTGCATCCCTGGGATAACTCTCACGTGGTCATTGTACATAATTCTTTTTATATGTTGGTAAATTCCACTTGCTAATATTTTGTTAAAGATTGCTGCATCATGAGGAATATTAGTCTACAGTTTTCTTTTCTTCCCATTGTCATTGTTTGGTTTTGGTATTGAGGTAATTCTAGCTTTATAAAATAAACTGGGAAATGCTTCCTCTGCTTCTATTTTCTGGAAGAGATTAATTGGTGTTAATTCTTCTTTAAATCTTTGGTAGAATTCTTCATTGAAACTATTTGTTCCTAAATATTTCCTTTTGTGAGTTTTTAAATTATGAATTCAATTTCCTCAATAGGTGTAGACATTTTTGAATTATTTTATATTTAGTGAGTTGTGGCACTTTATATTTTTTGAGAAAATGATCCATTTAATTTAAGTGTCAAATTTATGTGTGTAGAATTGTTCATAGTATTCTTTTGTTATCCTTTTGATGTCTGTAGAATCTTTGATGATATCCCATTTCATTTCTGATGTTGGTAGCTTCTATCTTCTGTCGTCTTTTTTTCTGAGTCTTGCTAGTGGTTTGCCAATTTTATTAATCTTTCAAAGAACCAGCTCTTTGCTTCATTGATTTTTTTTTTGCTTTTGTTTTTCTGTTTTCAGTTTCATTGTTCTGCTTGCTTTTTATTTTGTTATTCTTTTACTAGATTCTTGAGGTGAGAGTTTAGATTATTGGTTTGAGACTTTTCCTCTTTTCCAATGTATGCAGTTAGTGCTTTAAATTTACTTCTCAAATGCAAATCAAAACCACAATGAAATGCCATCTCACGCCAGTCAGAATGGCGATTATTAAAACTCAAGAAACAACAGATGCTGACAAGGTTGCGGAGAAATAGAAATGCTTTTACATTGTTGATGGAATGTAAATTAGTTCAACCATTGTGGAAGACAGTGTGGCAATTCCTCAAAGATCTAGAACCAGAAATACCATTTGACCCAGCAATCCCATTACTGAGTATATACCCAAAGGAATACAAATCATTCTGTTATAAAGATACATGCACTTGTATGTTCATTGCAGTACTATTCACAATAGCAAAGACATGGAATCAACCCAACTGCCCATCAATGACAGACTGGATAAGGAAAATGTACATATGCACCATGGAATACTATACAGCCATAAAAAGGAATGAGATCCTGTTATTTGCAGAGACATGGATGAAGCTGGAAGCCATTATCCTCATCAAACTAATGCAGGAACAGAAAACCAAACACCACATGTTCTCACTTATCAGTGGGAGCTGAACAATGAGAACACAAGGACACAGGGAGGGGAAAAACACACACTGGGGTCTGTCTGGGGTGAGGTTGGAGGGAGGGAGAGCATCAGGAAAAATAGCTAATGCATGCTTGTCTTAATACCTAGGTGATGGGTTGATATGTGCAGCAAACCACCATGGCACATGTTTACCTATGTAACAAACCTGCACATCCTGCACATGTATCCTGGAACTTAAATTTACCTCTTATAACTACTATAACTGTATCTCACAAATTCTGATATGGCATATTTTCATTTTTGTTTAGTTGTGTTTATTGTGTGTATTTTTAAAAAATTTCCTTGAGACTTCCTCCTTGACCCATGTATTTCTAAGTGTGTTGTTTTGTCTCCAAATGTTTAGATATTTTCCTGTTGTTGATTTCTGGTTTGGTTCCATTGTGGTAGGAGAACACTTTCTTTATGATTTTATTTAAAAAATTTTTTGGTCTTTTGTTATCTTAGATATGGTCTATCTTGGCATATATTCTGTGGGCACTTAAAAAAATGTTATTCTGGCTGGGTGCAGTGGCTCATGCCTGCAATCCCAGCACTTTGGGAGGCTGAGGTGGGTGGATCACCTGAGGTCAGGAGTTTGAGACCAGCCTGATCAACATGGTGAAACCTCATCTATACAAAAAATAAATAAATAAATAAATAAATAAATAAATAAATAAATAATTAGCCAGGCATGGTGGTGTGTGCCTGTAATCTCAGCTACTCAGGAGGCTGAGGCAGGAGAATTGCTTGAACCTGGGAGGCAGAGGTTGCAATGAGCCGAGATTCTGCCATTGCACTCCAGTGTGGGCAATAAGAGTGAAACTCCATCTCAAAAAAAAAAAAAAAAAAAAAGTGTATTCTGCCATGGAATACTATGCAGCCATAAAAATAATGAGATCACGTCTTTTGCAGGGACATGGATGGAGCTGGAGGCCATTATCCTTAGCAAACTATTGCAGGTACAGAAAACCAAATACTGCATGTTCTCATAAGTGGGGGCTAAATGATGGACACATGGACACAGAGAGGAAAAACACATACTGGGGCCTATTGGAGGGTGGAGGTTGGGAGGAGCCAGAGGGTCAGGAAAAATAGCTAATGGGTACTAGACTTAATTCCTGGATGATGAAATAATCTGCACAACAAACCTCCATGACACTGTTTACCTATGTAACAGACCTGCACATGTACCCCTGAACTTAAAATAAAAGGAAAAAAAAGAAAAAAGAAAAAAGAAAATCTTGTGGAATCTACTAAAAGCAACGAAAAAGAAAATAATGTATCTTCTGTTGTTGGGTGGTGTGTTCTATAAATGTTGATTAGATCTTATGGTTTGATGTTGTTTATTCTTCTATGTTTTTTCTCAATTTTTGTCTATTTGTTTAATCAATTATTGAGAGAAAACTACTGAAGTCTTCAACTATCATTGTTGACTTGCCTATTTTCTTTTCAGTTCTATCAGTTTTTGCTTTACATAATTTGCAGCCCTGTTGTTTGGTGCATACATATTTAAGATTGCTATGTCTTTTTGGTAGATTTACCCTTTTATTATTACATAGTGTTCCTATCCATTTCTAGTAATTTTCTTTGTTCTAAGTTTATTTGATATTAATATAGCCTCCCTTTATTATTTTTTGCCTGATATATGTTTTTCTATCCTTTAACTTATAAACCGCCTATATCACTATATTTGAAGTGAGTTTATCATAAACAGCAAATAATTGAGTCTTTTTTTTTTTTTTTTGAGACGGAGTCTCGCTCTGTTGCCCAGGCTGGAGTGCAGCGGTGTGAAGTGGTGTGATCTCAGCTCACTGCAACCTCCACCTCCCGGGTTCAAGAGATTCTCCTGCTTCAGCCTCCCGAGTAGCTGGGGCTACAGGCTTGTGCCACCACAGCTGGCTAATTTTTGTACCTTTAGTAAAGATGGAGTTTCACCATGTTAGCCAGGATGGTCATCTCCTGACCTTGTGATCCACCTGCCTTGGCCTCCCAAAGTGTTGGGATTACAGGCGTGAGCCACCGCACCCGACAGAGTCATATTTTTAAATCTATTCTGCCAAGCTCTGTCTCTTAAAATTGATGTATTTAGGCGATTTATATTTCCTATAATATTGTTATGTCCAGGCTTAAGTCTGACATTTTATTTTTTGTTTTCTGTTTGTTCTCTCTGTTTTTCATTTCTTTGTTTTCTTTTTCATTGCTTCCTAAATAATTTTAAAATTCCATTTTAATTTATCTATAGCTGTGTGTGTGTATGTGTGTGTACCTCTTTGGATAGCTCTTTTAGTGGTTGTTCTAGGTATTACATTATATTTATGTAACTTATTTATTGTCATTAATTACCAGTCTGAGTGATGTGTAGAAATTTCTTCTCTCTTTGTTTACCCTCCCTCATTTATAATTGCCTGTAATATTTTCTCTATATACATTTATAACCATATGATACAGTATTATACGTTTTTCTTCAATCCTATAATTTAAATAACTCAAGAGAAGAAGTAAAGTCCATTTTTTAACCCATATTTTTTCTTGCCATGTTCTTTCTTCCTTCCTGATGTTCCAACTGTCCTCAATTTAACTTTTTGTTTTTTTAGGGTAGACCTGTTAGTGACAAATTCTGTTAGTTTTCCCTCATCTCTGTATGTCTTAATTTCCCTGGATATTTTTGCTGATATAGTGTTCTAAGTTGATATTTTTTTTTCCTTTCAGCACTGGAAAAAGGTGGTGACCTCCTTCGGGCTTACACAGTTTCTGATGAAAATTTTGCTCTGTCATTTTTTCCACCTGTTAGATGTCATTTATCTCACTGCTTTCAAGATTCTTTTTGTCTTTAATTTTTAGTTAATTACTATGATTTTGGTGTGGCTTTCTTTGGGTTTGTCCTATTTGGGGTTCACTCACCTTCTTAAATCACTAGGTTTATGTCTTCTGCCAAATTTGGGAAGTTTTCAACCATATTTATTTGATAATTTTTTTCAGCTTCACTCTCTTTTTCCTCTCATTTTGGGACTCTGAGTACATGAACATTAAATCTTTTGTTATAGCCCCATGGGTCCCTGAGGCTTTGTCCATTTTTTCCAGTGTATTTTCTTTCTTTCTTTTGTTCAGATTGAGTGATTGCTATTGCTGTGTCTTCAAGGTAGCTAATTCTTTCCTCTGTTCTCTCCTTCTGCTGCTGAGCTTATTTACTGTGCTTTTTATTTTGGCTATTGCACTTTTCAGTTCTAAAATTTCCACGTTTTCTTCCGTATATATCCTATTTTTATGCTGAAACATCCTATTTTTTTCTTTTCTGCTCTTTTCTTCTTCTTTCTTTTTTTAAACCACTGAACTGGACATCCTATTTTTTTCATTCTTTTAAGTGTTAATTGCTCATCAAAGCATTTTAATAATGGTGGCTTTAAAATCTTCATCAGGCTTTTCTTTCCGTTTTGGCATCTATTTTATTGTCTTTTAAAAATTCAATTTGAGATATTCCTGGTTCCTGATATGACAAATAATTTCCAGTTGAAACTTGGACATTTCAGGCATTATGTTATAAGGCTATCGGTCTTATTTAAACTGTTTTAGCTGGCTTCTTTTAACACCTCTCCAGCAGGTAGGCAGGTGAGCTTCATGACGCCAGGTAGGGGTAGGAGTCCAGGCTTCTCACTCTGCCTTCATTGACACCTCAGATAGGTCCCCATTATTATGAGTGGGGACAGAAATTCTGGCTCCCTATTAGGTGCCCACTAATACCTCCCTGGTTGGTTGGGAGAGGAGTGCCACTTACTATCCCTCACATGACCTTTATTGACACCAAGATGGGACAGTGGAGTGGAGGAGTGAGTGGTAGGTATCAGGGAGTGGTTGCTGGATTAACTCTGGGTGGTGATGAAAATCCTGACTCTCCATTAGGCATTGTCTGACATCACCCTAGAGGAGAGGGGAAGAGATGCTTCATTACTGTTGGGTGAGGAATGGAAGTCTAGGTTTCCATTGACATTTCAGGGGCTTGGGGAAAGGAGTACATTTTCACCAAGAGGGCATGACCATCCTGACTCCCTATTCACTTTCTCTGACACCATCCTGGTGTGTGGGCATGTGTGTGTTGAAGTGTTGGGTTCCTTATGACAGCCTGGTGAGGGTGAAAGTCTAGGCTCCTCATTTGACCTTAGCTGGTGGGGGTGGAGTCGCAGTTTTTTCTGTGGTGTTTGGCTGGCCCCATTACCCAAGATGGAGTGTAGTGGTGCGATCATAGCTCACTGTAACCTCGAACTCCTGGGCTCAAGTGATCCTCCTGCCTCAGCCTTCAGAGTATCTAGGACTATGACACATCGAACTATGCCTGACTAATTTTATTATTATTATTCATAGAGACAGGGTCTCATTATGTTGCCCAGGGCTGGTCTTGAACTCCTGGCCTCAAGCGATCCTCCTGCCTGGCCTCCTTCCCAAAATTACTTTAAATGATATAATAGCTGACAGCTTGAATAGGTCCTCTTTATTTTGTTGGAGGCAGAGTGTTAGAAGTGACCTAACAAAAAGGATTTGTTTCTTGTCACTAGACTCATTCACTGTGTCAATGAGTGTGTCAGTGGTTTGTGGGAAGCAAACTTAAATGAAAATGTATATTTTTAATTAAATGTTATGAGATGCTTTTTTTTAACTATTGGCTCTTGTGAATTTCAGAAAAATATTGCAAGTCATTTGACTTAGCTACTTAGCTTGCACTCTATGTAAAAATTTTAGAATTTTACCTCTTTGAAAAACTCCTAATATCAATAGTGATATTGTTGTTTTGCAGCCTCAAATGATTTTGTTACTTTGGACTAATTTTCACTGAGCTAGTTAATAAGTGACTTTTTATTGTCTAAAAAATTCTTAAGTGTATCATAGAGAGAAAGATTATTGGGTCACTAAGTGGCTTTCTATATATATACCTTTGTCCATATTTAATTTTTGCAAAACTCAAATTAAGGTGGTAAACTTAGTGTGGATATACATTCATGTATTGTATTGATAAGATTAACTACATTTTAAAACTAAAGTGGAAAGTTTTAAACAAAATTGTCATTCAACTATGTATGTATTTCTGTAAAACACACACGTAATGATGAATTCGAATTAATAAGCAAAAAAGGAGAGGATTTGTAATTTAAAATTGATCTTGGAATATACACTCTACACTTAAAGACAGAGAAAAAACTTTTTCTTTCCCTTTAGCATAATCTGCCCAGCTAGCGGTGGTTTCTTATCAGAATGCTCTCACTTAATACCTTGATAACTTTTAGTGCTTTGTGCTGATAGCATCAAGTTTTTAAATTATTTTAAAAACAAACAACAACAAAAAACCATTTGCTTCTGAAACACCTAAAGTTTCTTATAATTGTTACCTTCTTTATGTTTATTTTCAAATGTTTTATTGTCACTCTGGTTATTGAGATATCAAAGTTATAACAATTGCTCACTCTCAGGTACCTATGCACTTAAGTGACCAGTTTCTCTGAAAATTCTTTTTTGTTGTTGCCTTCTTCCAACCTCATACCCTGAATTCAGAATACTAACACTGTCAAGCTATTTTTCACGCCCCCAAATCTTTGTTTTTTCTCACTAGACAGCCACTACCCATTTGGCCACTAGGTGGCGCAAAAGGCTTAATTTTTCACCTTCCTCCGCCTACTGTTGAAGGAAGCTAAAAGTAATTAGATGTGTTTGGCATGATTTTTATATTTTAAATTAACGCTGTACTATCAAAAGAACTACCTGTGTCTCAAACCCACAATGTGGTAAAAGCTGACAAATAAAAAACAGTAGCTCAATTTTCTAGATTAATTTTGTCCAGGTTAAAAATATTATTGATATATGTTTTAGTGACCACATAGGTTTCAGTAAGGGTAAAAGGATGCTCTTGTTCGTACTCCAAGTCTGGCATGGTGACTGTCAATACATTCATTTTGAAGAAGATTTTGCTTCTGGGTTTAGCCCTAAAACAGGCCAAATAGAGACGATAAAATGAGTGGAACTGAATTAGAGCATTTCTGAAAAGTTTTATTTGGTTAATTCTGCCCCTTAAGGTCAGAAATTGTGTAGGAAAAGTGTTTCAAAATTATAAATAAGGCAAAATTGTACGTGCTTGATTATTTTATATCACACTTGAACCTTTGCTCATAATTCTGCCTTATCAAAACCAGAGTGTTTCAGGGATTGTAATTTGCCTAAGACGAACCCGGCCAGCCCTGTGCGATTAGAGGTTAATCAGCAGAGAGCTGATAAGGGATGCTGGCTTTCTCTTTTTCTCCGGTAAAGAAGATAACACCAAGGTTATGATTTTATTGCCCTCTAGCACGTTAGCCATTTTGAATCTCTAGCCTAGAAATTATTTCCTCACAGAGAGATACAGCTCTGTTTTTCAAATACTCTTTGGATCAAGGCTCTTGTATTCTTGCTGGTTCCCTCTTTGAGTTTGATAAAACTTTGAAAAGTCTACCAAAGAAATTTCTCTCAGAACTAGACTTTAGAGAGGAAATGCTGGAACTACGGATGAGAGGCACATGTATGTACAGGGTCAGACCACGCAGAGAGCAGGTCTGATGAGCCACACCACTGCTGCTGCCCCATGGCTTCTAGACGCTGCTGTTGGTTCTGTTGTTAGGACCTGGAGGTTGCTGCAGCCACCACTGAAGACACCTCCTAAACCACTTCTGTTTCAGGAACTTCACTTAAAAAAAAAAAAAAAAAAAGGAAAAAACCCACCGCTTCCCCAAAAGACAGTTGCTTCTTCTGTCACCTTTGCCAGAGAAATAAATACAGTAAAAGGTGCTCTGCAACCCCCACACCCTGGTTCCTCCTGTGGCCCCTTTGTAACTGAAGTCTTAGGTGGATGAATTTAATTGGTGGAACTTAGGTGCTCTAGCTTCAAAGAAGGCTAGGGGAAGTGAGCTTTCTGGTTTCCACTTTAGGGAGGCAGGACTCAAAAGGTAGGGGAAATTTCACAGTACTCTAAAGGTGTTCAAATCCCATGGGCAGCCAGTAAACATCACAGGTGTGAGGTGCTGGGTGGAGTGGCTGCCGTGAATATGTGTTTTGGTTCATGGACTACATCAGTGGCTCTTAAAGTCCAGTAATTCACAGTTTCATGAGAGATAATAAAATGATTATTTTTGTTTTAAGCCATTAAGTTTGGAGTTGGTGTGCTGCCCAGCAATAGATAATGGAAACATACAGTATGTATTTCTGCAAGTCTGGCTTCTTCACTTAATATTGTTTCTATGAGATTCGTCCATGTTGTTACATTTTCAGTAGTTGATGAAGTTTCATTGTTTACATAGTACTGTGTTGCACGAATAGACTACGTTTTGTTTATCCATTTACTGTTGAAGAACCATTTTGTTAAACAATTTGAGAGTAATCTGTGGAAATTATGCCACTTGACCCCTAAATATTTTGTCATGTATAATTTAAGAATAAGGACATTTCTCCTGCAAAACCCTAATACTGTCATCACCCCCAAGATACTTAAAATTGATACCATATTATCAAACACACAATCCATATTAAAAAATCCCCCATTGTCCCAGTAACACCTTATAGTAAATGTCTGTTATTTTAAGCGGGTGTCATTCATTACATGGCAATAGGTAACTAATACGGTGAGTCTGCTTCTTCCAGCAAGGACCCTCAGGGGGTGCGGTGATTCATAGTTCTCACTCAGACTTCTCTGTGTCTGCTCATATGTCCCTATTTCATATCTCAGGGTCCGGTCTATCCCAACCAGGGGTCTTGCCTTATCACAACAGCTGCTGTTGGATGATGCAACAAACATTTCTACAACTTCATAACCTTTATCATAAGCCCCCGGGCTTGACCCTCAGCCATATCTGTGCTGGGTTGCAGGAGAAAAGATAGCCTTTAAAACTGCTATAGAGGCATTTACAGTTTTTCATTCATGTCTTGAGTTTGGATTAAAGGCTTTTAATTTGTCTTTTTTCCTTTGTATGCTCTTGAGGGCAGTCTGACGCAGCCAGTCTCTGAAGGTTGGCACAAAAGCCTCCATCGAGTCACCCAGCTTTTGCCTGGTACCTATCCTAACCTAAAACCTTGCCACATGTTACCTTGGCGAAAGGCCAGTGCCACACTTCAGTGATGATTTGGCTGTCCTACTTGGTTAGAACCGAGTTCACTTCCTTCCTCAACACTCCTGCCACATTGATCTGGAAGTTTCACCTTGAGCCAAGTGATAGTTAATTTTATGTGTTAACTTGGCTAGGCTATGGTTTCTAGACATTTGAATACCAGTCTAGATATTGCAGTGAAGGTATTTTTTAGATGAGATTTACATTTAAATCAATAGATTTTGGGTAAAGCAGATTACCCTCCATAATGTAAGTGGCCCTTCCAATCAGTTGAAGGTCTTAGGGGCAAAGACTGATGTCCTCCAAGGAAGAGGGAATTCTGCCTCTGGACCACCTTCAGACTCAAGCCGCAACATCAGCTCTTCCCGGGTCTCCAGCCTACCTGCAGATTTCGACCGTGCCAGCTTCCACAGTAGTATGAGCCAATTACTTAAAATAAATCTCTCTCTGCCAACATCCTATTGGTTCTGCTTCTCTGGAGAATCCCGACTCATACAAGCCACTTTCTATAGAAGGCTGTTTCTTCGAGAAATCCACCCTCTTCTATGTCAACAGAGTTTAGAATCTCCATACTTTATCTCTTCATTTTTGAGAACATAAATTCTGTATTACACATACTTATACTATACTATATATGAAACTTTCATAAACATTGCTGGGCAAAGTTGAATATTGCTGAACCAATTTCCGATGCTTCTGAATAAGTTCAATGGAGTTAAAACATTTTTCTTCTTACATGGTATGTCCAGTGCCCCAGAGCCAGCAGAGTTAAGAACTTGGTAAGGAAGACCAAAGATAATCCATATATTCTAGTTTGTTATATAATATAAAACATGTTTATTAGACTCTAAAAGACATAAAAAGAAAATAATACATATGTATCAGTGAGAGAGGTGCAAATTAGGAAGAGAACTAAGGATTATTCTTAATTCCTGCCTTCCTTTCTAAATCCCAATCCTCAATTGAACTCTTTAATTATATTTCCTGTTTATTTTGTTGAATGGAAAAAATGGAAAATTATCTAACATTTGTCATGGAAATATAGGAGAAATTACTCTCAGAGATATGATGTTATTTAAGTCATTGACATATTGTTAACCTCAGATGCAAATGGTGGAATTAATAATATTCCTCAGTTCATGGTACATAGTCACTGTTGGTCTAGTGCTAGTTTGTAGTTGTATTTGTATTTTTTATTTTTTAGAAATACGGTCTTCCTTTGTCACCCAGGCTGGAGTGCAGTGGTGTGATCACAGCTCACAATAAGCTCAAACTCCTGGGCTCAAGCAATCTTCCTGCCTTGGCCTCCCAAGTAGGTAGGACTACAGGTGCATGCCACCATGCCAGCTAATTAAAATGTTTTAAATTTATTTTTGGTAAATGGGGTCTTGTTATGTTGCCCATAGGCTTTAGTGCTATGATAAGCTAGTAATTATAGTGAACATTCTTGTCTTGGATACCCAAGGTTTTTCCGTTATGTATACTAGTGGTTACAGATTTTTTGGATTATAACCTTTGCCAAAATAGGAAAGTTTTGATTCCTGCTTCCTTAACTGTTTTTCAAAAATCACAAATGGATATACTTTACCAAATGTCTTTTATTAATAGACTGAGCAAAGGAAATGACTTTTCTATGAATATGGTAAATTATAGCAACAATATGTTTTATTATATTGAACCACCCTAGTATTCCAAGGATTCCCTATTTGATCTTGATGTATCATTATTAGCATAATCATTATTATTATTGTTATTATTATACATATTTTTAGAGACAGGGCCTTGCTCTGTTGCACAGGCCGAAATGCAGTGGTGCAATCATAGCTTACTGCAGCCTCAAACTCCTGGGCTCAAATGATCTTCCTGCCTCAGCCTCCCTAGTAGCTGAGACTACAGGTGCTCACCACCACACCTGGCTAATTTTTTAATTTTTTGTAGAGACAGGATCTCAGTATGTTGACAATGCTGGTCTTGAACTCCTGGCCTCAGGCGATCCTCCCACCTCGGCCTCCCAGTATTATTATTTGTAATATTGTTGAATTCGGTTCATAAATAATTATTTTTTTCTCCCATCTGTGTTCAAGGTGAAATGGGTCTATTATTTTTTTTCCTTGAGTTTTCCACAACTCAATTTGGAGTCAAGATTACACTCGGCTGATAAAATTAGCTAATCAGGTTTAGTTTTTTTCTATTTTCTGGAAAAAGTATATAATATAGAAGTTTCATGTTCCTTGAATGTTTGATAGAACTCATCTGTGAAACCATCTGGGCATTTTCAAAAATATATTTTTTTATTAGATGCCATTGATAACTTTAAAAATTGCTTTAATACTCATTGGTATAGTCAAGTTTTGTATTTCTTTTTGTGCTAATTTTGATAGATTAAATGTTTCTAGGAATTTGCATATCTCACCTAGGTTTTCAAATTTATTAGCATATACTTGTTCATAACACTCTATGCTTTATATCTGTGTCATATCTGTAGCTGTTCCCCCTTTTTCATTATGTATTTGTTTATTCATTTTTTCTCCCTTTATCCATAATCGGCCTTGTTGTAACTCTGAATATCTTACAAATATTTTTAAGTAAGCAGCTTTTGGAATCAAAAGTATGTTAATTTTCACTACCTAGTTTTTTGTTCTCTATTTCTGTTTCATTGCTTTCTATTCTTATCTTTATAACTCCTTTTCTTCGTATTTCTTTAGGTTTGCTCAACTTCTCTTTTTCCAAATTTTTGAGTAGAATTTTTAGGTCCTTTATTTTAACTTTTCTTGTTCTAATAAATGTATTTGAAATTATAATATTATTTTATATGTATATTTTATGTGTAACATTTTTAACACCTGGTTCTAAAAGAGTTAATTTTCTTTATAACTGCTGTTTATTTATTTGACACAGGGTCCCACTCTATTGCTGAGGCTGGAGTGCAGTGACGCAATCATGCCTCACTGCAGCCTCCATCTTCTGGACTCCAGCGATGCTCCCATCCACGACTGCCTTTTAAATCCATGTTACTGATAAATATATTTGTTCACTTACAATTTTAAGTATATTTTAGTTATCAAGTTCTAATTTTATTACAGTATGGTTGCAGAATATAGTTTCTTTCTTTCTTTCTTTCTTTCTTTTTTTTTTTTTTTTTTAAGACAGTGTCTTACTCTGTTGCCCAGGCTGGAGGGCAGTGGCACAATCTCAGCTCACTGCAACCTCTGCCTCCTGGGTTCAAGCGATCCTCCCATCTAGCCTTCTGACTAGTTGGGATTACAGGTGCACCCCATCCAGCTAAATTTTTTGTAGAGACGGGGTTTTGCCATGTTGCCCAGGCTGGTCTCAAACTCCTGGGCTCTAGGGATCTGCCCACCTTGACCTCCCAAAATGTTGGGATTACAGGCGTGAGCCACTGCTCCTGGCCTAGAATATAGATAGTTTCTAAGATACCGATACTCTGGAATTTATTGGCGTTACCTTTATGGAATGATGCATGTCCTATTTGAGTAAATGTTCTGTGTGGCTTGAACTATTATATATAATTTTTGGTTTTCTGGCAACTTTTAAAAAATGAATTTTATGAATCTTGTACCTCATTTTATTTCCTTCTTTGCTTTCACTATCCTATGGCCCGGAGCCAATTATTTTTTATCTATTTATAGTTGGCTGATAAATATGTGTCCTGTTAAACCGGCTCTCTGAAGAAAAACAATGCTTCTGACTTGTAGCATTGCTGATTTCTATAGTATAAATACTTCCATAGTGGTCAATATCAAGTTACCAATAGTTAACAACTGTCTTCAAAAATCCTGAATACTTTGCAATCTGCTCTTGCTAGCCAGTATAAGACAGCGCACCACTTTTTTTTTTTTTAAGATATTCACGTTGTCCATTAGTTTCCATTAGTTTCACTCCTTGGCTTCACTTACTTTTCTTAACCATATTTTCTCTTTGACCCAGTGTTGTTTTCTTCTTTTAAAAATTGTTTTAAATTATCTCTGTAAGCTGCTACAAACCTTTTATTGGAATGAAGGGCATTAGAACAGTTATTTGGCCAATACAGAAAAATGAAGTCTTCTAATTTTTTTTTTTTTTTTTTTTTTTGAGATGGAATTTCTCTCTTGTCGCCCAGGTGGAGTGCAATGGCGCAATCTTGGCTCACTGCCACCTTTGCCTCCCGGGTTCAAGCGATTCTCCCTGCCTCAGCCTCCCGAGTAGCTGGGATTACAGGCACCACGCCCAGCTAATTTTTGTATTTTAAGTAGAGATGAGGTTTCACCATGTTGGCCAGACTGGTCACGAACTCCTGACCTCAGGTGAACCACCCGCCTTGGCCTCCCAAAGTGCTGGAATTACAGGCATGAGCCACCGCGCCTGGCCGAAGTCTTCTAATTTTAAAAGATCTAATCTTCATTCAGTTCTCAAAGTCTTTGCTGTGCCCTTAAGGCATGTCACACGCATGTGCAGCTCAGGGGTAACCTGGTACTCCTGAGGGTTCAGACTCAGAATTAGGGAATTTCCGCCTGTACTCTCAGTTTGGAGATTCCCCTACACATTCCTGCCTGCAGGGGCCCTTTTTCTTCATTCCTCTGGCCAGAAAGCCGGTATTTCTCTTGTTAACTCAGGGCTTGTGCTACCACGCAGTGCAGCTCTGCACCTGAGGCCTGACGTCAGGGCAGAGCTGGGAGGAAAAAAGGGGAAAACATTGAAAACCCACTCCCCAGGAGGGGCCCCTCTCCCAGTTTTGACCCTCTTCACAATCCACCTGCTTTTGTTTACTTTTTGGAGTCCTTGAGTACTTGCTTTTTGTATACTGCCCAGAATTTCTACTTGTGATCAGTGGGAAAAATGGGCTATTTAAAATCTCAAATAAGTTAAATATCATGGCTAGAAACAACTCCAGGCATTTGTAATTTTAGATTTTTTTCTTTACACTCCAGGGGGATGTGATTGTTTTAGAGTTTTGAATTCGTATGTTTAGCCTGAGATCCTACTAGTATTTCTGTTGAATATGCCTGTTGACTGCCCACTTGTTAGCAAAATGGCATTGAATGTTGGAACTGTAAACTACCTTAGAAATCATTCAGCACCATCTTTTGACAGAAAAGGATATGAGAGTTCACTCCTGTCACTCAGGAAGTGCAAGGCAAAGATAGAAGCAGAATTAAATTTGTTTTAATACAGTTACTCAGCCATCTGGTAACAGTTTCCTAAGTGCCAACGAATGTATGGGGCTATTTATTGCAGATTTTAAGATGATATATGGGGATTGAGGGAATGAGAAGTTTTAGGGAGTGGTAGAGGAAGGGCATATAATAAGACTGAATCCCAGATCCCAGCCTCAGAACTTATTTTGTGACCTTGGTCAAGTGATTTAATCTTTCCAAACCTCTATGTGTCCTATAGAAGTAATAATACTACCTATATAGGGTTGGGTGTTTTTTTTTGTTTGTTTTTTCTTTTTCTTTTCTTTTTTTTTTCTTAAGATAGGGTCTTTCTCTGTCACCCACACTAGAGTGCAGTGGCGCAATCACAGCTCACTGTAGCCTCAAACTCCCAGGCCTAAGCGATCCTCCCACTCAGCCTCCCAGGCAGCTGGGACTACAGGCATGCACCACCGCACCCGACTAATTTTTAAATTTTTTTGTAGAGATGGGGTTCTCACTATGTTGCCCAGGCTGGTCACTAACTCCTGGGCTCAAGCAATCCTCCCGCCTTGACCTCCCAAAGTGCTGGGATTACAGGTGTGAATACAGGGGGTTTTTTGGTTTGAATTTTAAGAGATAAAATTTATAAAACATTTAGCCAATGCCACAAATGTAGCTTCTTTTGGTTATTGTCATTATTCTTTGAAATTCACAAGTGCCCCAAAATATTTAAGCATTTTTCATGTATTGCCCTTTAATATGAATGAATGCATTATGAAAGGAATTCTTTTACATGCGAGTTTGCTGATAGTCTTAGCTAATTCTCATGTGTGTAGGTGTCTTGCCTATCTGTCAGTCTTAGCCTTAAAGGAAAGAGTCCCATCACCTCACTTGCGGCCTCATCATCATGGACCGCATGATGATGCGGAATGAGAATTTTTATTGTTTGTACTACAAAATCATTCAGTACGTGATCACCTGTCATGTATAGGGCTCTTTATATTTCTAGTTTAGTCCCTTTTGTTTTCTCTAGGAAAGATGTTTTAGACCTGGGACAAAAGAAGAAAGAGTGTATGCTGACATCTAGGAGGGAAGCACCCACCTCCCCTAAGCTCCATCTCCCTGAGCACTCATTTCCCAATGACCATACCAGGTTTTGGCCCTAGAGAGTTTATTACAAAATAAGAAAGAGAAGTCTGGGGAAGGTTCACTCATCATAGAATTTTGGCAGTTCATTGCCCAAGATGACTCGATGGTCCACACCGGCAGCTGTAATAGTGACCAGGTAGATGACACCCCCGCTTGAGCCATCCCGGCTCATGGCCAGAGCAATAGCTGCAGAGGGTTTCAAGTTGGAGAGAGGGAGAGAGAGGATGGCTTAGCTTCAAAAATCTTTTTACTCCCCCTCCATCCATATGCCTACTACCACTTTCACCTCAAAACTCATCTTCCAGGAAGGCATATTTAGTGGTGTGCTGGTAAATCAGTTTTTTTACAAAAAGGCTTCCATATGTGGCATCTGCTGATGTCCATGGTGTAAATGCTCCCGCTATGATGAATTGCAAGTTACAAATAGCTAAGCAGTTCACAAATCCTTGACTATTTAACAGTCCGCTCTCATGAGTGGTCCCAAGCCAGCCTCAGCACACCTCAGCACACCACTGGTTCTTTTTTTTTTTTTTTTTTCTCCAGACAGGGTCTCTCTCTGTCACCTAGGCTGCAGCGCAGTGGTGCAATCACCGCTCACTACAGCCTTGATCTCCCCGGCTCAGATGATCTTTCCACCTCAGCCTCCTGAGTAGCTGGGACTACAGGTGTGCACCACTATGCCCAGTTCATTTTTTTTTTACTTTTTTTTATTGTTTTTTGTGGAGACAGGGTTTCACCATCTTGCCTAGGCTGGCCTCAAACTCCTGGGCTCAAGTAATCCTCCTGCCTCAGCCTCCCAAATTGTTGGCATTACAGGTGTGAGCCACTGTGCTTAGCACACCACTGGTTCTCACAGTGACTGTGTATCCTCATTTGATTTACTCAGAACAGCCCTGGTTTATCCGTATTGCCCAAGAGCCCCATTGAGCTTTGCATTTGTCCTGCCCCTTTTCACTCTTAAAAGTGTACCAGGCCCGGCATTAACTTAAATGGCCACCCCTGTATTTCTCTTCCTGTTCCTCATAATCTACTTCCTTCCCATGTTTCAAAGCCCTCCCCAGGTACCCTTCCACTTGGCTGGTTACCGTCTGTGGTGAAGCGCCTGCACTCCTCGGGAGACATGCCTGGCTTATATGCTGCATCCACATAACCATAGATAAAGGTGCTGCCGGAGCCACCAATGGCAAAAGGCTGTCGAGTCAGCATTCCTCCCAGGGTTCCATATACCTGGGAAAGGGATCCTCAGGTTAAAGAATCATCAAGCCCTTCCTTCCCACTGAGACATTAAGTGGTCTCTGCACCCTGCAATGAAGCCCTGGTATCTCATATCCCCAAAGTACTATGCTTTCAGAGGTAGTGTCCTTGGAACTCATTGCTAGAATGACATAGGACTTCCATCTTCCTCTGCAGGAGAGTGGGGAAGCCCAGAGGAGAGAGTGCTTTGGGAGAAACTCACCTGACCTCCTTCACGTTGGTCCCAGCCAGCTACCATGAGATGTGCAGACAAGTCCTCTCGATATTTATAGCTGATATTTCTCACCACATTTGCAGCAGCCAAAACAAGTGGAGGTTCCTCCAGTTCTATCCTGAGGGAAATATTAGGAATAAAGGTTGATAGAATTTTAAGTCTCATTCTCCTATACTGTTACCATCATCCCTGCTAAACGACCCCTGAAAACTGTAACTGCAATAGCTCAAACTGCAGCCTCCCTCCCACATGTACAGGGGAACCAGAGTCCCACACCACCAACTGGTAAGAAGCTTTCAATTGCTCACTCTTTTGCTCAGCCCCACCCACATAACTTTCTTTTGGCTGCAAGGACCCTGCTCTTATGGGGAAAAGCAGATAAGGTTACTTCCATCCCAACGACCTTGATTTCTCGTATGGTAACTGCCTGATATTATGGTGGGTCACAATATCACCTTCTTCCTGATTATTTATATCAGGATAGTGATTTACAGCTTTTAAACTGTGTTCACATATAGAACGTGGTTCTCAAAATAACCGTCTCATGAGGTGCTATATTATCTCCACTTTACAGATGCAGAAACTGACAGATTCAAGTGCCAGCAAGAGCCGAAACAAGACTTTTCCATTTCCCAGTGTCCAGCTCCTGGAACAGCACACTGTACAGGGATTCATGCAGGTTGGGGGAGCTCTAGTGGGTGGGGAGTCAGAACTCCAGAGCTTCATACCCATGGAGCTCCAGCTGGTAGGCGGCCATGTCGGCCACGGCTTGGGCATCAGCAGCTGAACCAGAGAGTGCACAGTAGATGTGCTCGTGCAGCGGGGACAGCTTGTCAAACACTCGGTTCACCACCGCCTCGCTGTCAGGAGGGAGTCAACAGTCACCAAGTTAAAACTCAGGTTTGCTTTTTTTTTTTTTTTTTTGAGACAGTCTCACTCTGTCACCCAGGCTGGAGTGCAGTGGATCAATCTTGGGCTCACTGCAAACTTCGCCTCCCTGGTTCAAGTGATTCTCCTGCCTCAGCCTCCCGAATAGCTGGGATTACAGGCACCCACCACCAAGCCCAGCTAATGTTTGTATTTTCAGTAGAGACAAGGTCCCAACATGTTGGCCAGGCTGGTCTCAAACTCCTGACCTCAAATATCTGCCCACCTCGGCATCCCAAAGTGCTGAGATTATAGATGTGAGCCACTGCACCCAACCAGAACTCAGGAATTTTTGAGGGTGATCATTCAATGTCTCTCAAATTTCTTTGACAAGAGAATAGCATGAAGTTTAATGCTTGGATTAAAGCAGGAGGCAAATAATCATCTCAGATATTATTAATCACTGCAGATGTTAATCAAAATTAGGCTTATTTTTCAGGCTTAGATTTTATAACAAAGCAAAAAATGCTAAGGTAAGAAAAATATGCCTCATCAATTTTCTTTGCTATTAACAATCTTGAGAGAGTTATGTTCTATGGAACATAATGTCAGTAATATTGACCTAACCCCATATACTCATTTTGCATGTGAGGAAATTGGTTAGGAGTGGGAGAAGAGACAAAATAGTTCAATATATGGTAAATGAGAAACCAGATATCTGCTTGACAGAATCATCTTTTTGATCCCTAAGCACAGATGGAAAGAAGACCCTCAAAAATCTATCTCCTGTCCCCCTCTCAGACCCTATTCCTTTACTCATCCCTGTACACTACTGGGACAGGTCACATACACATTCAGACCCCAGATCCTCCTCCACAAATTCAGAGACCCAAGCACCCACCAAATAGCTTATCATAGTGGCTTTTGGGGAAGGTCAACTCCATTCCTCCAAGGCTCCAGTTTGCCAGTCTTTTCATGAATGGGTAAGGAAAGTGTGTATTTGAGGCCATTAGCTTCTTTCCAAATGCATACATCTTCACTTTTACTCACCCTGCAGACACTCGGGAATCAGAACCCATCACAACGCCCCCGTCAAACTCCACTGCCATGATGGTGGTCTGCAGAGACACAGAATATGGAATGTCAGGGCAAGAACAGCCTTGATGCCCTCATGTTAGAGAAGAAGAAACATTCCCAGAGAGGCGAAGTGACTGGCTCAAAGATTACACAGTAACAGGCCAGAGCTGACTGTCAGTACAGGCTTTTTTTCCCTTCATCTTTCCACTTTCTCTATTGCTTCATCCGGCTGCAGGGGAATGCCACAGCCCAGCTGTGATACAACACAGAAAGAACTGTGTCCCTAAGTTCCAACTTGCCTAGTGGAATCCTCTCCACTGTAGAGAGGTGGAGATGAGGCTCCTACAGGTAGAAGTGAAGCAGCTCCGCAAGTGAAAATTATCTCCAACGGAAGGGCTCATAGTATGTGCAGATGTGGTGTAGACCCAACACAGAGTAATTGACTATGATCTTGGGAAACAAGGTCAGTCTATTTTTTTTTTTTTGGTCCACAATCCTCCACTCTCACCCCCCATTTCATCAGAAGTGAGCTCTTCCAATTTACTGAACATTGGAAAAAATCGAGGAGGGCAGTGGTTAGCATGGCCAGGGGCAAGGCAGGAGAGAAGCAGCAAGGAACACATACAGATGGTTGAAAATAAAAGTTTCAGTTATGGAATTTCCGATCAAGAGGTAAATACATATCTCAGCAGCCAGGGGGGTAAATTTGTACCAAGAGATAATTTGACTGAGAAGTTTAAGCTGACTTTTCCAGGTCAAGAAAAGAATCAAGAAGAAGTGAGGGAAGATAAAGCTACATTTATTCTACTATTGAGTTGGAAGGAGCCTTAAAGATCCTCGGTTCAAATGAGGAAACCAAGTCACAGAAAATGCAAACGACTTATGCAAAGTCACACAGAGTTAATAGTAGACCTGGGACTAAAATTCAGGTCTAACTCTTATCCCTTGTTTCCACTTCTACTTCCTACTTGCCACTGCTCTTTTGGCAGTGAGGGGAGATTTCCCAAATTATAAGTGGTTTCACTGTGTCTTTCTTACCAGGCCGTAAATTACTCTGGCCCCAAAGGACGCTCCTCTGAGTATGCTTTCCGACGGACAGACTTATCATGAATAGAGGGTCAAAGAACAGGGTTAACTTCAAGTTAGAGGCTATTCCTCTCTAACAAAGCCGCCCCCAAGCCACGAGTGGTGGCAGTAGTCCAGAGCAGAAGCCAGCCAGCCAGTCTTGGGGCTGCCATCTGCCCCAGGCGCCCATCCTAAGCAAAGTCCCCCCAGTGGGCACATGGGAGTGGGCAGGGAAGACACAGGGAAGGGAGTAAGGCAGCATCTGGGCCAAGGAGAGGCCTTCCTGGGTCAAGCTAGGGAAGGGCATCACTAGTTAACACAGAACGCCCATTATCAGTGCTTGGGCTAAGAGTTGCCCAGTGGCAAGTTTATCAAAAGTCTGTGTGATGAGTTGGTCCTTCTCAATAAGTGCCTATATTTCCTTCTCCCAAGTGCTGTTCTACTTCACCCAGGGCACCATTTCCTCATCTCTTTGCACCATCCCCAACCCCCTTTCTTGATTTAACCAGCCCCCACTGTCCGGGACCAGAGTGAAAGCGAAAGCGCTTTAGAGTAGCTTCCCGTTGACGCTTCCAGCTAAGAGTCAAAGCACCCCCTTTTTCCACCAGCCTCGCGTGCCTGGTCCCTTCACGGACACTCTAGACGACCCCCCTCAGAAAAGAAATACTCTATGCTCATTGCGGGTTGCAAGCGCTGGCTGCTACCGGCGACCTCCCTGCGCTCCCGTTGGTCTCTGCATTCACTTCTCCGCGCGCGCTTCCAGGGTCCCCTGGCCGCTGCATCTCCTCCACCCCTCTGCCAACCCTCAAGCCCAGACCCATTACCCCGGTGTGGACTTCTCCCGCCCGGGGTAAGTCCCCGGTTGGTGCTCCCGCCCGCAGCATCCCTGCAAGGCACCGCTCTCCTCGCCGCCTGGGGCACTGGTTTCCAACCTGGGACAGCGCACAACGCGCAGCCGACAGCCCCGCCCCTTCGCGGCGCCGCCAGGAGGCGCCTGGGTGCTGCGGGGCTGCTTTGCGCGCGGCGCTAACTTGTGTAGGGCAGATCTGCCCCGAGACAAGTGACGAGGCAGCCCCGCCCTGAGGCTGGGGTGGGAAAACTGGTGCAAGTGGAAAGGCAGGAGGCAGGGAGAGGCGAGAAGGGTGTGCGTGATGGAGAAAATTGGGCACCAGGGCTGCTCCCGAGATTCTCAGATCTGATTTCCACGCTTGCTACCAAAATAGTCTGGGCAGGCCACTTTTGGAAGTAGGCGTTATCTAGTGAGCAGGCGGCCGCTTTCGATTTCGCTTTCCCCTAAATGGCTGAGCTTCTCGCCAGCGCAGGATCAGCCTGTTCCTGGGACTTTCCGAGAGCCCCGCCCTCGTTCCCTCCCCCAGCCGCCAGTAGGGGAGGACTCGGCGGTACCCGGAGCTTCAGGCCCCACCGGGGCGCGGAGAGTCCCAGGCCCGGCCGGGACCGGGACGGCGTCCGAGTGCCAATGGCTAGCTCTAGGTGTCCCGCTCCCCGCGGGTGCCGCTGCCTCCCCGGAGCTTCTCTCGCATGGCTGGGGACAGTACTGCTACTTCTCGCCGACTGGGTGCTGCTCCGGACCGCGCTGCCCCGCATATTCTCCCTGCTGGTGCCCACCGCGCTGCCACTGCTCCGGGTCTGGGCGGTGGGCCTGAGCCGCTGGGCCGTGCTCTGGCTGGGGGCCTGCGGGGTCCTCAGGGCAACGGTTGGCTCCAAGAGCGAAAACGCAGGTGCCCAGGGCTGGCTGGCTGCTTTGAAGCCATTAGCTGCGGCACTGGGCTTGGCCCTGCCGGGACTTGCCTTGTTCCGAGAGCTGATCTCATGGGGAGCCCCCGGGTCCGCGGATAGCACCAGGCTACTGCACTGGGGAAGTCACCCTACCGCCTTCGTTGTCAGTTATGCAGCGGCACTGCCCGCAGCAGCCCTGTGGCACAAACTCGGGAGCCTCTGGGTGCCCGGCGGTCAGGGCGGCTCTGGAAACCCTGTGCGTCGGCTTCTAGGCTGCCTGGGCTCGGAGACGCGCCGCCTCTCGCTGTTCCTGGTCCTGGTGGTCCTCTCCTCTCTTGGTAAGGGGAACGCAGGGCAAGAGGGGAGGACACAAGGGGACTGGGACAGGAATCAAAGGTAATTGTCAGTAAGGTAGAGTAGCGTGGGTTCTGGGAAATGTGGAGCAGGAGAAGGACTCCTAGCGTGGGTCTTGGAACACCACTTCGGTGTAGAAGAAACGGCACTGGACTGGCGGGGGCCAGAGGTTCTGGGCTCCATTGCTGACCGGGTCTTGATTCTTTGGGCCACGCCGGAAGCGGGGAAATCCTTTGCTCTGGGGCCGAAGGGCGGGGCATCCTCATCTCTAACAGGAGGCTTTTCTACTTCATGATCTCCAGCCTTCCTAATAAAATCCTGAAAGTTCTGGTAGAGCAACCACAGGGTAGTGAGTTCCAGGGCAGCCTATTTAGGTTCGGGATTGAGACGTCAGTGTTTCCTTTCTGCTGATGCCCTCCAGGATAATGGTGAGGGGGAGGAGGCGTGGTGGGGCCAGTCTGACTGGAACTGACCTACTTAGACTTAATATTTGTGCGTGACCTCTCTTCTCTTTCTCCAGGGGAGATGGCCATTCCATTCTTTACGGGCCGCCTCACTGACTGGATTCTACAAGATGGCTCAGCCGATACCTTCACTCGAAACTTAACTCTCATGTCCATTCTCACCATAGCCAGGTCTGGGGGCTGAAAATGGGGCACCCTGCAAATGAGGGAGTTGGAAGTTGGGGCTGCTGTCCGAAATGCACTTATATGGGGATACCTGGGACCTTCAGTCTGTTCCCTGAACACACCCTGATCCCCTTTTTTTCCGGGTTCTTTATAGTGCAGTGCTGGAGTTCGTGGGTGACGGGATCTATAACAACACCATGGGCCACGTGCACAGCCACTTGCAGGGAGAGGTGTTTGGGGCTGTCCTGCGCCAGGAGACGGAGTTTTTCCAACAGAACCAGACAGGTTTCTCCTGAAACTCTTTCATTATACGCCATGTACTGTTCATATCCTCATACATCTGCTTTGATCTCCCCCCTCCCCGCTCTCTCTCTCTCACACACACATACACACATTGTTCCTTCTCATTCTTGATATACCCTCTCCCTGTCTCTCTCTCTCTGTCTCTGTCTCTCTCTCTCTCTCTCTCTCACACACACACACACACAATTGTTTTTCTCATTCTTGATATACCTCAGGAGCAAAATATTGTCCTCCTTACCTTAAGAAAAACCTAGAGTTTTCATCTAGCATTTTCTTATAAATCTATTCCTATGTATCCTTAGATAGAAACCATAGAATTTCAAACCTGGAAATTTTGAGCTCATAGAGACCAACTGCCTCATCTGACAGAGAAGGAAACTGAGGCCAAGACCCTAAATGCTGAAACTGCACAGTTACATATGGCTAGAGACACACTTGGGGTTAGAACCCTGGTCTCTTGAGTGCTCCACAGACTTCGGCATGCTTTCTAGCAGCACTAGAAGCTGTACAGTTACATATGGCTAGAGATAGACCTGGGGTTAGAACCCTAGTCCCAGTGAGTGCTCCACAGACTTTGGCATGCTTCCTAGCAGCACCCTCCTCCTCCATCTCTGTTATGTGACCAGTTTAAGCTCTTCCTGCCTGTGTGTATAGCATGGGACATACAGGTTCTCTAGGGAACAGAAAGCTTTCAGGAAAATGGAAATTCACATGTGCATTAATGACTTTATAATTAAAATGAAGGTCAGGCCTTTCCTCTTTAACACTCATCTTCCCTGCACTGAGATTTGCAGACCTCTGGAGAACCCTAACCTTGTTTCCTGCAGCCTCCTTAGAACCCCATGTTGACACCCCTGACCCTGGCATCCTGGCTCATTGTTAGTTCGTCTCATCACTTGGAACCTGTCTGATTCACCTCACTCTCTTCTCCCCAACCCTGCAGGTAACATCATGTCTCGGGTAACAGAGGACACGTCCACCCTGAGTGATTCTCTGAGTGAGAATCTGAGCTTATTTCTGTGGTACCTGGTGCGAGGCCTATGTCTCTTGGGGATCATGCTCTGGGGATCAGTGTCCCTCACCATGGTCACCCTGATCACCCTGCCTCTGCTTTTCCTTCTGCCCAAGAAGGTGGGAAAATGGTACCAGGTATGTTCATGGAGTTGGCCCGCTCTACACAGACCCTCATCTCCCAGACTTGGCAGACTCAGTTCCTCTCACATTGCTTTCAGTCCAGCTTTCCTGGCACCCTTACTGATTCTCCATCTTCATGGAACACCCTGTCCCTGTGGTCCATGTTCCCAGGTTGCTCAACATTAACCTCCATACTCTCTGGGTCTTCTTTTCTAGCTTCTCCCCACAATCTGTCTTTAAGAATTTGATCCCCAACCCGTTCTGAGTCATTTTCCTCTTCCTCGTATTTCTTTAGCATCCAAGGGGCATAGCTGTGTCTCTTTCTCTTTTCTCCTTTTCCTCTGTCTCTTCTCACCTTTAATTTCCAAATAGGTAACTCAGGTATTAGTGTCCCTGATGGTTTGCCAACCCGTGTGACATCTCTTGTCCATGTATCCACAGTTGCTGGAAGTGCAGGTGCGGGAATCTCTGGCAAAGTCCAGCCAGGTGGCCATTGAGGCTCTGTCGGCCATGCCTACAGTTCGAAGCTTTGCCAACGAGGAGGGCGAAGCCCAGAAGTTTAGGGAAAAGCTGCAAGAAATAAAGACACTCAACCAGAAGGAGGCTGTGGCCTATGCAGTCAACTCCTGGACCACTAGTGTGAGCACCTGAAGATGAATACCCATTCCCTTGTCCTTAAGATGCCGTGACTCCATTCCCATTCCTATGACCCTGCTCCCACTCCTCCTTTACTGGGAAATGGTTGGTTCAGTATTTTCGTCCTAGCAACCTGAGGCTCAATGACTCTACTCAGTGTCCCTAGCCCCCTCCCTCTCTTTAAAGATGCTAGGTGGCTTCCTTTCAGTATGGTACATAAAATCCACCCAACCATGTGGATTGGAGAGATGCGTGTCTTCCAGTCCTAGGGCCTTCCTTTGCCTCTCAGGGGAAGTGCAGGGCGCCATAAATTCTTGCACCTGGGACTGCTTCATGCTGGTACCTTGTAGATTTGTTAGTGAGAGTGATGGGAATAGTGGAAGCCAGGGATGAGGGACATCTGTGATGCACTGGAAAGAGAGCTACGCCAGTGATCCGAAGATCCTGGCTTGATGATGCAATTTACTTGTCTTGTGATCATGACAACAAATTTACCTTCTCTGAGACTGTTTCCTCTTTATTTATTTATTTGTTTGTTTGTTTGTTTATTTTTACTTATTATTATTATTTTTGAGCTGGAGTCTCGCTTTGTCGCCCAGGCTGGAGTGCAGTGGCGCGATCTGGGCTCACTGCAAGCTCCGCCTCCCGGGTTCACGCCGTTCTCCCGCCTCAGCCTCCTGAGTAGCTGGGACTACAGGCACCCGCCACCACGCCCGGCTAATTTTTTTTTTTTTTGTATTTTTAGTAGAGACGAGGTTTCTCCGTGTTAGCCAGGATGGTCTCAATCTCCTGACCTTGTGATCCGCCCACTTCGGCCTCCCAAAGTGCTGGAATTGCAGGCATGAGCCACTGCGCCCGACTGGTTGTTTCCTCATTTTTCAAAAATGGAGTGATATAACCTTCTTTATAAGGCTCTTCATGTATTAGCTGACATCACATGAATGAAAGCCTTTTGTGAAGAGTAAAATGCTCCCCAGACAAGGTGATAGTGGTGATGGTGGTGAAGATAACTGTGACTTGCATGATGTGCATTGAGTCAGACTCCATGGGGTCTCTGGTTCATTCTCCTGTCTGCCTATTGAGCCTGCCGATGTCACTTAGGAGACAGGGACTTGATATTTCCTTCAGGTTAATGACTGTGGTTCTTTGTGTCCCCTCCAGATTTCTCTACCTCAGTCCCTTTTTTTGTGGTCTCTTTATAGATTTCAGGTATGCTGCTGAAAGTGGGAATCCTCTACATTGGTGGGCAGCTGGTGACCAGTGGGGCTGTAAGCAGTGGGAACCTTGTCACATTTGTTCTCTACCAGATGCAGTTCACCCAGGCTGTGGAGGTGAGGTCCCTCCACCTTCACTCCCCAGTGTGATTCCTTCCTCTGGCCCAGCACCATCTGTGTGATGTCCTTCCATTCTTTACCCTTCTTGCTTCACATAATGCTGGCAAGCAGACTACCTCACTTTCACTATTCTTACCTCCCTCTAGGTACTGCTCTCCATCTACCCCAGAGTACAGAAGGCTGTGGGCTCCTCAGAGAAAATATTTGAGTACCTGGACCGCACCCCTCGCTGCCCACCCAGTGGTCTGTTGACTCCCTTACACTTGGAGGGCCTTGTCCAGTTCCAAGATGTCTCCTTTGCCTACCCAAACCGCCCAGATGTCTTAGTGCTACAGGTACAACCTACCACTCCCTGTATTCCACTGGCCCCAACTGCAATTCTGCCATCCTAAATTTTCTTCCTGCCTTCAGCCTGCTTACTGCCAAGCATATATCCTCCCTAACCCTTTAAAGGCAATGGTAGGCATCATCTGTTCCATAAATCTTCCCCAAACTCAAGAACCCAGTTTGGGCTTCCAAAGAGAATGAGAGAAGAGGTTTCGAAGAGAGTGCTCTCACGTTCCAAGGAATTGCTGCAGCAAAATCTGTGTCTTCGGTCTTCCATCTTTCCTTTTCCTTTGTAATTTGGAATGTGATTTTTCCCTTTCCTGGTGGTATCTGACATCAAGTGTGTGGCATAGTGGTGCTGGGTCTCTGCCCTTGTCTTTGCTGCTTCTTCTATCTCTACTCCTTGGGGAGGCATCACCCAGAAATCTGTGCATGTGGGAGGGTAGGAGTTTCTATATTTCCCTGTTTTTCTTCTGGGGTAAGACATCATGCTATGTAACAAGGCAATGACACTCTCAAGGTTAGAGGCCTTGGTAGCCTCTTATCGTGTGCTTCTCTGGCCTCTAGGGGCTGACATTCACCCTACGCCCTGGCGAGGTGACGGCGCTGGTGGGACCCAATGGGTCTGGGAAGAGCACAGTGGCTGCCCTGCTGCAGAATCTGTACCAGCCCACCGGGGGACAGCTGCTGTTGGATGGGAAGCCCCTTCCCCAATATGAGCACCGCTACCTGCACAGGCAGGTATGGAAGCAGGTGGCTTGAAGGAGGGCAGGGAGCATCAAATACGAAGAGCATTCTTACTGAGCACTCTGAAAGAGGGGTTAGGGAATGATAAGAGACCTTGGGTGGAGATGGTGGTGTAGTCAGGAGGGAGGTAGTATGATTTTGTGACATGTTCTCAATAAAGATTTTGAGTCTTCGATCTCTAGATAACCATACTCCCATGTGCCTTGTTCTATGACTCTTCATCATATTTCATCTCAGGTGGCTGCAGTGGGACAAGAGCCACAGGTATTTGGAAGAAGTCTTCAAGAAAATATTGCCTATGGCCTGACCCAGAAGCCAACTATGGAGGAAATCACAGCTGCTGCAGTAAAGTCTGGGGCCCATAGTTTCATCTCTGGACTCCCTCAGGGCTATGACACAGGTACTCTCTCCACTCATCTCACCACCCAGCCATCTTTACCTTTGCTGAAACCCCAGTAGTCTTGCCTTTATCCTTCAGTTCCTCCTTACTCATGGACATCAATTTGAAGTTGTAAGATCATGCTCCTATGGCTTCTTCATCCTGACATCCTCAGGATTCTGTTCATCTTCCCAGAATCTCCCCTATCCAGCTACAACCGTCAGATCTTGGTGTGTGTGAGTGCGTGAATGCATGAGTGTGTCTGTGTGCATGTACATGCGTGCACACATGTGGCTATACCGTTCTCATCTTGGCCCTTTGCTCTGCAGAGGTAGACGAGGCTGGGAGCCAGCTGTCAGGGGGTCAGCGACAGGCAGTGGCGTTGGCCCGAGCATTGATCCGGAAACCGTGTGTACTTATCCTGGATGATGCCACCAGTGCCCTGGATGCAAACAGCCAGTTACAGGTGAGGCAGTCATCTTCTTAATGGCTATATCCCACCCAATCTTGCTTCTTTTATACATCTTCTGTTAGTTTTACTAACATCATAATTATACAAACCAGTCCTTGCAGTTCTCAGTTCCCAAATCCAGTTCCATTGGATGCCTCCCCAAGGAGTAGAGATAGAAGACGAGGCAAAGACACCTAGAATCAGTTAAAAGAGACTATCTACAAACTACAGACTGAATTTCTTTCTTTCTTTCCTTTTTTTTTTTTAAGACAGTGTCTCACTCAGTTGCCCAGGCTGGAGCGCAGTGGCACAATCTTGGCTCACTGCAGCTTCAACCTGCTGGGCTCAAGCGATTCTCCCCTCAGCCTCCCGAGTAGCTGGGACTACAGGTGTACACCACTATGCCTGGTTGGCTTTTATATTTTTAGTAGAGATGGGTTTCACCATGTTGCCCAGGCTGGCCTTGAATTCCTGAGCTCAGGTAATCTGCCCCCCTCAGCCTCCCAAAGGGCTGGGGTTATAGGTGTGAGCCACTGCGCCCAGTCCTATAGACTGAATTTCTAAAGCGAAACATAAGGAAAAGACCATCCTCATAATATCGTTTATTTAAAAAAATTATTTTTTGTACAGACAGCGTCCCGCTATGTTGCCCAGGCTGGCCTTGAACTCCTGGGCCCAAGTGATCCTCCCTCCTTGACCTCCCAAAGTGCTAGGATTATAGGCATGAGCCACTGGGCCCAGCCCATCCTAATCATATTAATATTAATTAAGCTAGTCTGTTTACATGCACTGTCACTCATTTATTCATTAGGAATCCTTCTGAGCTAGGCATTTATCATCATTCTACAGATGACAAAATGGAGGTTAAAAGAGGTTGAATAAGCTGCTCATATAGAGGTCATATAGCTTTTGAGTGGCGCAGCCTTGACCCAAATTCAGGTCTGCCTGACTTGAATGCTCATCTCTTTACTACTAAGTTATATTTCCTTAAAATCGAATATAAAAATGCCAAGTCCATGGGTAGAGAAGAGGACTATTCAATAGTCTTTATTCTTCTGTCACGTGTTTCACCCTAGGGTTCTCATTTTTATCCTACTTTTGCACCCTTCATGTAAAACAGTCCTTAATGAAACAAAGGGTTTGCGGAGAAGTACTCAGAATGGGAAACGTTGGTGTCCTTGGGGTTGTTAGCAGAGCCAGCAGTGATCCTGTGAGGTCAGTCCCAGCCCTGGAAACACAGGTGTCTCCCTGGGCTGAGGGTAGTCCCCGGCTCTGACGGTCCGATGTCTTTCCTCAGGTGGAGCAGCTCCTGTACGAAAGCCCTGAGCGGTACTCCCGCTCAGTGCTTCTCATCACCCAGCACCTCAGCCTGGTGGAGCAGGCTGACCACATCCTCTTTCTGGAAGGAGGCGCTATCCGGGAGGGGGGAACCCACCAGCAGCTCATGGAGAAAAAGGGGTGCTACTGGGCCATGGTGCAGGCTCCTGCAGATGCTCCAGAATGAAAGCCTTCTCAGACCTGCGCACTCCATCTCCCTCCCTTTTCTTCTCTCTGTGGTGGAGAACCACAGCTGCAGAGTAGGCAGCTGCCTCCAGGATGAGTTACTTGAAATTTGCCTTGAGTGTGTTACCTCCTTTCCAAGCTCCTCGTGATAATGCAGACTTCCTGGAGTACAAACACAGGATTTGTAATTCCTTACTGTAACGGAGTTTAGAGCCAGGGCTGATGCTTTGGTGTGGCCAGCACTCTGAAACTGAGAAATGTTCAGAATGTACGGAAAGATGATCAGCTATTTTCAACATAACTGAAGGCATATGCTGGCCCATAAACACCCTGTAGGTTCTTGATATTTATAATAAAATTGGTGTTTTGTACTGTGGTTTCTTATGTTTCCGGCACACCAAACGGCCCACTGCCTTTTGCAGCGCACTTTTCAGCTGCGGGTGTCTCCTCTTTTATCATCCTCAATGTTTTACCCCCTAACTGCATCACCTTTTCCCTTAAGCTTTTTAATTCCTATGAGGCCCCTTCCACTTCCCCTATCCCCTTAGGCCCACCCCCAAGAATGTGCAAGACCCCAGCCACAGGGCCCATCAGGGCACTAGCGGCC